>NC_000014.9:76884440-77035955 GCF_000001405.40 Homo sapiens
ACCGTCTGGGAATGCAGCCTAGTAGGCCTCAGCCTCATTTTACCCAGCTCCTATTCAATATGGAGTTGCTCTGGTTCACACCCCTTTGACAGTCTCAGCCAGTAGGCAATTCAGAAACTCCCCCAGCAGGCAGCCGGCCGGGTGCCTTGCTCCTCCAGCATGGGCCCAGCTGACTCCTGGTTTCCACCTCCTGGATGCGGCCGGCTGCTCTTGTGGCTCTCCTGTCCCTCACAGTTGGGCCAGGGTCAAGCAGTGCTGGGACATAAGCTGGCAGGAGGGGAGTGGGCCCCGGGTCCCAGACCAGGGCTGGAGAGGATCTGGGCTCCACAGAAGAGGGTGGGAAGGGAACCCCACCCTGTGTAGGAGGCAGGGAGAGTGGAGATGCAGCCCAGGGGATCTGCCTGAGGCCCAGCCCAGACACTGGCCCGACTCTCGGAAGCCAGACCACCCCGTCTGCCTTCCCTGGCAGAGCCGGACCAGGCTGGAGCCACAGTCCCTGGGCAGGGCACACTCAACATCCGCACCCTGGTTCCCTGAGGCTGAGGGCTGGACCAGCCAGACGCCTTCCTTTGCACCTCCAGGACCCAGGCTGCGAATCCCTTCCATTCAAACGCCCATGTTCCCGGGAGGCCGGGAGAGGGTGGGCTCAGGTCAGAATTTCATTCCTCACACTCGTCAGAGGTTTGTGAAAAGCCAGCCCAGAGGAAAGCCCAGAGGGCAGGGCGGGGGAGGAGACTGAAGGGACCGGCTGCGGGAGACAGGAAGGGTGGACCAACCCAGCACTTCCACACTGGGCCTGGGCAGGCCTCATCCCCAGCCCCACCTCTGCCTTCTCCTTCCCATTCCCAGCTCAGGCTCCTGGGCCCCTGGCACTTCCACAGCCCCTCCTGGTTTCCGGAGGTTTGCCGAGGCTGCTGCTCTGTCGCTGCCGTCCTTTCACGTATCCTCTCATTTTCACAGACAGGGAAACTGAGGCCCGAAATGTCAGTTGAGGCCAACAGCTAAGTGACAGGGCAACAACCCAAATGCCCAAGCCTTCTGCTGCCAGCTTCCCAGAGCCCTCTGGGCTGGGTGGCAGTGGCACAGAGCGATGTGGAGCTCTGGAGGCAGATCCCGGCTCTGCCACTCCCTGGCCTCAGGACCCCGGGCAACTCAGGGCAGCTTTCTCACCTGTAAAGGAGGAACTCATGGCCCCCTCCCAGGGTGACTGAGAACACAGGCTTCCGTAAGGATGAGGAGGGGCCGGGCACTCCTGGGTCATAGGAAGTGCTCAGCCAGTGGATACCACCCCTTCCACGGCAGAGACTGCCCATGCCTAACACATTTCCACTGCCATTGGCAATCCCAGGCTCGTTTCTCAGACTCAGGTATTTTCAGGCTAGAAAGGACCTGGAAACGTGTCCTTGGAAGAGCTCTGGACCCGTGTTTTTCCCTAAGCAGCTGGTCCAGCCACCGCAGACACAGATGACAGGTGTGCTGACTCAGTAGGACCCAATTCCAATTGCCTTCCATTGTTGAAAGAATCTAAAAGAACCTTGACTCCCCTCCAGGTCTACCCAATCTACAAACACTGCAGAGCACAAATGAATGAAGATTCATTGTCTCCTTTAAGAACCAGAGGGGTCCCCCTTCCCGTGCAGCAGGAAAAGCTCACACAGAATGAAAGCTATTAGGTTGGCAAATTTCTCCTTCCTCCTGGGGGTGAATTCAATTTCAGACCTGCCTAGGGATGGGGGATGGTGTCTTTCTTGTCCACCCACTCCACCTCCCCACCCATCTTGGGGAGAGAGGACGTGCCACTACTGAGCCCGGGCGTGATGTGTGGACTCTCCAGGTGACAGGGATTTTTTTTTTTTAGAGAGAAAATGCTCTTTTTTTTTTTTAGTTCCCAAGTTTTATTCAAGAACTCATACAAAATATTCCAGATAAATGAAATTTAATCCTCTTCTTCATCCTGGTTAATCTAGAAGTAATGTAATTCGTAACTCTCTTTGCTGTTAGCAAGTATGCGCAACCAGTCACATAGATTATTTTTCTTCAAATTTTTTTGGTGAGATACTTCAAATACCTTTTGGAGAAAGTCACCTTGGATGTCACAGTGATCTTGCTCTTGCTCCTTTCGTTGGTCACCACCCCTCCACCAAGGTTCCCAGCTTTTCCATTCACTTTGATCCTTTCTTGCAAAAACTGCTCAAAATTGGCAGCATCCATGATTCCATCTTCTACAGGGTGGGTGCAATCAAGAGTGAACTTCAGAACCTTCTTCTTTTTTTTGTCCCCCTTCGCCACAAGCTTTTTCACAGGAGCTATGGTGGCAGCGGAGTTAGAAAGGGAGCGAGAAAATGCTCTTTTTGTCTTTCCATTGAGAAGGCACCTCCCAGGCTGGTGTATCCAGGGAGTGGAGACCATCACCCTTCAACAGAAGCAATGAACTTTAGTGAACATCATGTTTACATGTGTTTTATGCAAAGCACCACGCTTGGTGGTACCATGGGGAACAAAGAGACAGCTAAGATAAAGTCCTTGCCCTTAAGGGTCTCTTAATATATTTTAGGTCACAGACACTTTTGAGAATCTTTGGAAAGCTATGAACTTGCCCCAGAAAAATGCAATGCACGCACACACACACACACACACACACACACACACACTCAGTTCTGTATCCATTTCAGAAGGTTTGCTGGCCCTCTGCAGCCAATCCGCAGACCTTCATAGACCCAGGATTAGGAAACCTTCCTTAAAGACGCGCACAATTATCTCTAGAAGAACAATCGATAGGCAATTTCAACAGAACACAGAAATGAAGCCAGGCTATGACAATGAGCCACCAACTGCTCTGGGATTGCAGCAGATGACATCAAGAATCGACATTGTGAATCTCCATCACGATCAGGGAGCCACAACCAGCTGGCCCTGGAGGACCGGCACCGTGAAGGGAAAGGGCCCAGAGCCTGAAGGCAGCACAGTCAAGCATCTGGGATCCACTCCAAGCCGAGAGAAGCAGGAAGTAACAGATCCTGAAGGCTCTAACAGAATTCTAAAGAATTCCAAATTATAGCTGCAAAGAAAGATACTTCTATCTGGATGTCCCTAGGAAGAAGATTGGAAAGCTCATTAGAACACAGGTTAATGTGTTAACTTTAACACAACCTCCTTTTCCTGAAATTCTTATGCACACTAAAGTTTATGTGCATAAACTGAGACCCTTAGTAGACAATGTATCCAAGGTTACACTGCCTGTTGGTGATAGGACTCGAACCCACAACCCCTAATTTCCCCCAAAATGGTCTTTCCTCAACACTGAGGCAATGGGTCTCCCAGAGATGATATTCACAAATTAATGCACACTAACGTTTATGTGCATGAGAATATCAGGGAAAGGAGGGAGTGTTCAAAGTGCAGACATATGCCCTTCCCCTCTCACTCTAGGGACACAAGAATCTGCCTTTTATAGCATCCCATGTAACGCAGCTAATCCACAGACCACATGTATGTGGCCTCTGAGTGAGGGGGAGCTCTCATGTTCAAGAAGATTCATCTTTGGGGGCTTCCTTTCTGGGTGAAAATCACAGAGCTACTAGCCTGATAGAGCGCAGATATAATCATGCCACCTCTCCCTGGAAGACAGCACATCATCTCTAAGCCTGCAGGACTTGGGGCTCCTGATGGGAAGGTGAGGGCAGGAGGACTGAGCTTGTCCTTCACTCAGGGAACAGGGTAGAAGCCAGAAGTTCCCTCTCTGCCAGCACCCTAGAAGACCCCTACTCATTTCCCAGCGCTGGGGGAGGGGCTGCTTCCTACCCCTCAAACCTTTTCCCCGCTAGCTGCGACAGATGCCAGCTCCACCACGTTGGTCATGCCCACTCCGGCCCCACCCTCATCTACGCTTGGACTTTGGGAACATCTAGTACCTGTGCTCACTGGGGGCCTCCCAAGCTGAGGACTGGCAGGGCTGAACCTGGGACTGGGGTTGGGAAGAGGAAGGTAGACAAGGAGGAGCAGGGAGCAGTTCAGAGCCAGAAGCGGTTCTGCACAGCTCTGCACAGCTCGGCGGGAAGAGCTGGCTCGAACAGGGCTCTGGCTAGGTAGACAGAGGGTCTGAGTCTATGCAGCTGTGAACAGTCCAGGATTGAAGGGGGAAGGGACACAGAAGGGAGGAGAGCACAAGCTCCAGGCCCCATGGCTCAGAGACTATCAGGCATTTGCCCTGGGCCAGCCTGAAGGTATAGGGGACAGCAGGTTTTGTTGCACTTGGAAACGAAGCTCAGTAGCAAGGAAACATGGGAATATACACATGTACACTCATGTACGCACATAGGTACACACACAGGTACACACCTGTTTGGAGGATGAGGATGGAATCACAGGATTCTGTCAAAAACTTCAGAGCTCACCTGGCCCAGCGCCCTCATTCTATAGGTAAAGAAACTCAGACCCATAAAGGACAATGTATCCAATGTTACACCGCCTGTTGGTGATAGGACTCGAACCCAGAGCCCCTAATTGCCCCCAAAATGGTCTTTCCTCAACACTGAGGCAATGGGTCTGGCCAGAGGTGATATTCACAAATTTTAACAACCTGCACAGCAACACAGCCCCAGCAATCAGAATGGACATTCCAACTGCGTTAGGATCCCGGAGGTCCGCTGAGATGCTCTTTTACTTGCTGGATTCAGAAGAAGTCTTGGGGTCCCAAGGAAAGCAGGCTAGGATGATGAAAGAGTATTCAAGGGGCTCAGGGATGGCTGTTTGCTAACTAGAATGAAAGTATTTCAATACATTAACAACACTGTATTGGTTGGCTGTCAGCCCTAGAGCCAGGAATCTCCTCGCCAGGGGAGCCGAAGGAAAGAGACCCATCCTTCTCCTTTATTATTATTATTATTTTTTTATTTTTTATTTTTGAGACGGAGTCTCTCTCTGTCACCCAGGCTGCAGTGGTGCAATCTTGGCTCACTGCAAGCTCTGCCTCCCGGGTTCACGCCATTCTCTTGCCCTGTGTGCTAAGCAAAAGAGTTAGGACTTAATCTTGAAAGTCATGGGTAGCCACAGAAGGATTCTAGAAGGAAAATTATTTGATCAGGTTTTCATTTTCTCTTTTTCTTTCGTTCTCTCTCTCTCTCTCTCTCTCTCTCTCTCTCTCTTTCTTTAGCTCACTGTAACCCAGAATTCCTGGGCTCAATTGATCTTCCCACCTCAGCCTCCCGAGTAGCTGGGACCACAGGCACCTTGCTAACAGATTTTTATTTTAGAAAGATTACTTTGGCCAGGCACGGTGGCTCATGCCTGTAATCCCAGGACTTTGGGAGGCCGAGGTGGGTGGATCACCTAAGGTCAGGAGTTTGAGACCAGCCTGACCGACATGGAGAAACCCTGTCTCTACTAAAAATACAAAAAAATTAGCCAGGGGTGGTGGCATGTGCCTGTAACCCCAGCTACTCGGGAGGCTGAGGCAGGAGAATCGCTTGAACCCAGGAGGCGGAGATGCAGTGAGCCGAGATTGTGGCACTGCACTCCAGCTTGGGTGACAGAGTGAGACTTTGTCTCAAAAAAAAAAAAAAAAAAGAAAAAGAAAAAGAAAAAGAAAGATTACTTTGGCAGTGATATGAAGGGTAATTTGGAAAGTGGTATATTAGTTATCTATTGCTACATAGTGTATTATCTCAAAACTTAGCAGCTTAAAACAATGAATATTTACTATTTCACATGGTTTCTGAAAGTTAGGAATCTGGCAGCAGCTTGGTTGTCATTCAGGGCTTCCTACGAGGTTGCAGACAAGCTGTCTAAAGGCTTGACTCGGCCAGCAGATGTGCTTCTAAAATGGCCCACTTCGATCCGGCTATGATATCTGTCACACCATTGATTGCCAGGGTTGATTCAGCTGATCTGGATGGTGCGGCAGGTGTCCCCTTCCTCTCTCACTGCTCCACATATGTCCTTCCCGAAGCTGTGCGCTAGGTTGAAGAGGACGACCTTCCCCGATAGAGGGCTGTTCTTTGGTCAAGGGTATGTGAGTGGCTGTGCTCCCCTGCTAGAACCTCCAAACATGGCCCACTCATCTGCCATTCACAGAAGGCCTCAGTTCCTCACCCCATGGGCCTCTCCATGGTGCTGCTTGCAACATGGCAACGAACATTGGAGCCAGTGATCCAAGAGGGAACATGGGGGAAGTCCCAGTGCTATATGACCCAATCACATACAATCACTTCTGCCATATTCAATCTGTTAGAAGTGAGTCAGTAAGTCTAGCCTCCACTCAAGGAAAGAGGAATGAACCTCCATCTTTGGGAGGGAAACCTGTTGAAGTTCTGCAGATATATTTTAAAACTGCAGGCCAGGTGTGGGGCTCACGCCTGTAATCCCAGCACTTTGGGAGGCCGAGGTGGGTGGATCTCCTGAGGTGAGGAGTTTGAGACCAGTCTGACTAACATGGTGAAACCCTGTCTCTACTAAAAACACAAAAATTAGCTGGGCATGGTGGCACATGCCTGTAATCCCAGCTACTTGGGAGGCTGAGGCAGGAGAATCACTTGAACGCGGGAAGTGGAGTTTGCAGTGAGCCGAGATCACGCCATTGCACTCCAGCCTGGGCAACAAGAGCAAAACTGTCTCAAACAAACAAACAAACAAAAAAACCCTGCAAGGTGGTTAACTAGCCCATAGGCAGAGAGACCAGTTAGATTACAGGAGTGTACCAGGAGAGAAATGTAATGGTCTGAACCAAGACAGGAGCACTGGAATGGAGAGGAGGGGCATCTTGAAAAGTTGTTACTAGAGAGATGGCTTATGGGGTGCAGGGAACTGTGATAGGCCAGGGCCAATTGGCAGGAGCAGCCTTTGGAGCACACGCCCTTGGAGGCAATACCCCAGACATCCAAGGTCAGTCTGAACTGCCTCCACCTGCAGACAGAAGGGTGGTGGGCAATGCTTGACCAACAGGCCCCCGAAAATCTTGGATTATGGTAGGTTTCTGCAGCAGCTTGGGGGTGGAGCCAGCACTAATCAGACTGGAACTTCCTGGACCCCAGTGGTGAGAGCCTCCAGAATAAGATTAGGATGAAAACAGCTCCCCCCTAAACCACACAGAACACAGGAACTGCTGGTAGACAATCATAACGGCAAAGCAACACATTCTGAGTCAATATGTCAATGACAATAGCTTCACCAAACATTCTGGATGTGGCAAGTATCTGTGTTCACTCACTCAACAAAGATTTGCTGAATGTCACCATGTCCCAGGCATTCTGCCAAGCCCTGAAGAGAAAACCTAAGATTTTTTTTCTAATTTTATTTATTTATTTTTTAGTTATTTTTATTTTTATTTTAATGGAGACAGGGATCTTGCTAATGTTGACCACTCTGGTCTCAAACTCTTGGCCTCAAGCAATCCTCCTACCTCAGACTCCTAAGGTGCTAGGATTATAGGCATCACAGTGCCAGGCAAAACTAGGATTTTTTTTTTTTTTTTTTGAGACAGAGTCTTGCTCTGTGCCCAGGCTGGAGTGCAGTGGCGTGATCTCAGCTCGCTGTAACCTCTGCCTCCTGGGTTCAAGCAATTCTCCTGCCTCAGCCTCCCCAGTAGCTGGGATTACAGGAATGCACCACCACGCCGAGCTAATTTTGTTTTTTTAACGGACTTTTGCTCTTCTTGCCCAGGCTGGAGTGCAATGGTGCAATTTCAGCTCACTGCAACCTCCGCCTCCCAGGTTCAAGCGTTTCTCCTGCCTCAGCTTCCCGAGTAGCTGGGATTACGGGTGCAAGCCACCACATCCAGCTAATTTTGTATTTTTAGTAGAGATGGGGTTTTACCATGTTGGCCAGGTTGGTCTTGAACTCCTGACCTCCAGTAATCCACCCCCCCTCAGCCTCCCAAAGTGCTGGGATTATAGGCGTAATTTTTGTATTTTTAACACAGATGGGGTTTCGCCATGTTGGCCAGGCTGGTCTCGAACTCATGACCTCAGGTGATCCACCCACCTCGGCCTCCCAAAGTGCTGGGATTACAGGCATGAGCCACTGTGCCCGGCCCAAAACTAGGATTTAAAATAAAATCAGACTGCTCAACAGTGATGCTGAAAGCTAGAAGACAATGGAACAATACTTTGAAAGTTCTGAAAGAAAATTATGTCTAACCTGCAATTTTATATCCAGCCAAACTATCAATCAGCATGTGAGGAGAGTAAAAACATGCAAGGCTTCAAAATTTTTACTTCTAATGCACCCTTCCCCAGGAAGATATGAAAGACTTGTTCCACCAAAGAGAGAGAGAAAGAAGTCTCAGGGTAATGGAAAAGAAACAACTCTAAGATGCCAGCCAAGTCAACAAGTTCAATTTGAAGCAAGAAAGTCTTCAGGAGGGAGGTCTTTAAGAAAGAGAACAAAAACTCTTGTGCCAGGTGCAGTGGTTTACACCCGTAATCCCAGCAGTTTGGGAGGCCAAAGCAGGTGGATCACCTGAGGTCAGAAGTTTGAGATCAGCCTGGCCAACATGGTGAAACCTCGTCTCTACTAAAAATACAAAAAAAAAAAAAAAAAAAAAAAAAAATTGAGGTCTCACTCAAAAGAAAAAAAAATACTGTTGCATTACGAGGTCAAAATTGTTTTTCTCTTTTTTAGATGGAGTCTCTCTCTGTCACACAAGTTGGAGTGCAGTGGTGCATGCAGTCTTGCTTACTGCAACCTCCACCTCCCGGGTTCAAGTGATTCTCCCACCTCAGCCTCCCAAGTAGCTGAGACTACAGGGGCCTGCCACCATGCCTGGCTAATTTCTTTGTATTTTTAGTAGAGATGAGGTTTCACTATATTAGCTAGGCTGGTCTCAAACTCCTGACCTCAGGTGATCCACCCACCTCAGCCTCCCAAAGTGCTGGGATTACAGGCTTGAGCCACCGGGCCATAGAGATAAATTAGTAAGATAAATTGTGTAAGAGAGGAGATACAATCACAGTACACAATAGGTCAGCTGTGAACAGTTTTACATATACACACAATGCAAACACTAAATAATGGTTTAACTAAAGCTGTCACAGGAGGATGGGTGTCAAGGAAGTGTGTTGAGCTTGGAAACAGGTTGTGTGGTCAGGTCTCCCAGCTTAGGAGAGCTGGATCCTAAGATTCCACTATAGAAAGTCTATTGATAATATCTAAATTTTATAAATAAAATAGAGGTAAAAGCATGTTATTTAGAAATCTGGAGGTAAATTGCATAAGAAAAAACTTAAAAGGTTAAACATGGTTTTTTCAATTTCAGGAGGAGAAATTGAGGTAGGGAAGTTTCACTATAAGTCGTATCATACATTTAATTTTATAAAATACATATGCCTATTACGTTGATTAAAACAAATTTTTAAAATATTTTAAAGAATGGCTAGAGTTAAAGGAGTAGGACTAACATATGTAGACAACACTGTCCTTTTCCACAAAGAGAAGAGAGAGGTTGTGGTCTCCATACCCAGTGAGCAGGTTTTAAGTGGAAAACAGAGTCAGAAGTCTTCTTTGCTGAGTCACAAAAGATCCAGGTGTAAAAAGGTCTAGCTCCTGTACTTGGGGGAAACTACATCACTGCCCTCCATGTAGTGGCAGGTGAAGAACTAAGAGCCAAGGAAGTCAGCTAAGGTTTCTGCAAAGCAGTATCTGAGCCCGAGTTGAATTTTTTATCCATGTCATAAGGTTTACTTGATAAGTCACACTGGGTTTATGTTTCCTAAAGAGTCTGTGATTGGTTCCCCTTTTCTCCTTTAGATTTAGAACAGTCTTGGAAAGACCCAGATAGTCTTGATCATGTAAACGGGCACCAAGGTGAGGTGCTAAGCCTTCAGTCAGTGTGGGAAAAGGAGAGCAGCACCCCATGGTAGAATCCAGTCTGTCGTTTTAGCCTATCCAGCGTCTAATTCCTCTTTCTGAAAGGACTCCGTCCCCCCGGCATTCTCAGCCCATGTGGGGCTGACCCCTCTGCCAAGCTTCATCAAGGAGCACCCAGGCCTAGCCAATGAAAGCACTGTGTATCCTTGACTATCATGATTGGTCAGAAGTGGGCATGTGACCTGGGCTGGACCAATGACAGCCCTCTCCAGGGTTTTTGCTGAACCTATTAGAGGAAAGGTGCTAGCTCACTGCTGGGGTTGCTATGAGCCCCCGATGCAAGTATGAAGTTGCTGATACTCATCTGGCTACCACCTAGTAAAAAACTACCTGAGAATGAAGGCTACTCAGGGAAAAGCAGCCCAGAGAAATGTAAGGAAAGAGGTTCCTGATGACATCATCTGCGAACCTCTCAATGTTTTAGTTACTTGAGTCAACAAATTCCCTTCTGGGGATTTTATGCCACTTATAACTGAGATTCTTGAGTGATACACCTTCCTGGAGACAACGTGGTAAAAGTGGGAGATCCCAAGGAAAAGGCAAAACACAAAGTCAGAATAACCAGGTTATCTAATCACCCATGATCTCCCAACCTCTGTGTTCTTCCGCGACTAACCTGATGCTGGGACCTTTTTTTTTTTTAATCAAGGTAGCTTATTGCCTCACAGGTACATACAGGAAAAGGCCTACTGCACAATCCTGCAAATACTCCTAATTAGGAGGGTCATGTGATGATATACCTGAGCGGCTCTCGTCCTCAGATATGTAAATGGCATCGAGTTCAGTCCTTAACTGATGCAAACATAGTCTCTTAATCTGGCCCCACTTAGAGCCATCAAGTCTCTGCCCAGACTCTCCCATGGGTGAGGACGGCCCCTGACTCATTGTCAATTCTTCCATTGAGCCAAGAAACAAGAGCACAGCTAGAAAGTTCTTCTTCTGTCTGACTGAGACAGTTTCTGTTTCTCTGCACCTTCCACGCTCCCTAGATCTGCTCTCCAGGGCAACATAGGAAAAGCGCAAACCCACTTCCAAAGACAGTCCTTCAAGTATTTAAGAAGCGCCGTCATGTTCCTTTTTACTAGTAAGGAGCGAGTTTGGCCGCATGAAGCAGAAACCATACGACCATGGCTTAACCAAAGGCAGAGATAGATATTTCTCACCTTACAATAAGGCTGGGGCTGGGCAGGCTGGAGCTGGTGTGACAGCTCTATGAGGTCCTGAGTGTCTTCATTTATTTTTCTCTTTCTGCTCTACCATCTTTTAAGTCACTTTTTAAATTTATATTTATTTATTTAATTTTGAGACTGAGTCTTGCCCCGTCGCCCAGGCTGGAGTGTAGTGGCACGATCTTGGCTCACTGCAACCTCTGCCTCTCAGGTTCAAGCGATTCTCCAGCCTCTGCCTCCCAAGTAGCTGGGATTACAAGCACACGATACCACATCCAGCTAATTTTTGTATTTTTAGTAGAGACTAGGTTTCACCATGTTGGCCAGGCTGGTCTCGAACTCTTGACCTCAGTGATCTGCCTGCCTCAGCCTCCCAAAGTGCTGGGATTACAGGTGTGAACCACCATGCCCGGCCTACCATCCTTAATAGGTAGCTTTCATCCTCATGGTTGCCTTGCAGTTATGGAGTGGGTGCTCCACCTTCAAACTCCAATCCACATCCCAAGCAGGAAGGAAAAAAGGGAAAGCAACAGGAAATAATTCCCAGAAATACCCAGCAGACTTCTGCTCATGTCATATAGGCCAGAAGTGTCACCCGTGGTCTCTCCAAGTTGCAAAGGAGTATAGTGTATCTTTTATTTGTTTAAATCTGGACACATCTCAAATAAAATGATGATGCTATTGATAAAGAAGAAAGGGAAAATGGGCATTGGGTAAGCAACTAACAGTTGCTTCAGAAGCTTTTTCAGACAAAATTCATTTATGGAGAGGCAGCATTGGAGGAAGGCTGAAGCCTTCACTTGGGGAAGGGGGTTTCAGACCCCCGACTTCAAGTCCAGGCTCACCACTTCCTTATCTGTGTGACTTTAGGAGATATTCTTGAGTTATTTGAGCTCCTGTCTGCTCATCTGTTTAATGAAGATAAATGCACTTTTCTCCAGGGCTTCTGGGATGATTAGAGCACCTCTGCGCAAAATGCCTTAACACTTTAGACAGGCAACAAATGAATTAACATTTTAATTCTTCTCTTACTTCCTGTAATTGCTCATCATGTGACATGTTTCTAGTCCTTTCCTCCTGGACATGCCCCCAGGTTCTGTTCTAATGTCTCTTTCTGGGTTTTTTTTGTTTGTTTGTTTGTTTGTTTTGAGACAGAGTCTCACTCTGTCACTCAGGCTGGAGTGCAGTGGCGTGATCTCGGCTCACTGCAACCTCTGCCTCCCGGGTTCAAGTGATTCTCCTGCCTCAGCCTCCCGAGTAGCTGGGACTACAGGTGCACGACACCACACCTGGCTAATTTTTGTATTTTTAGTAGAGACAAGGTTTCACTATGTTGGCCAGGCTGGTCTCAAACTCCTGACCTTGTGATCTGCCCACCTCGGCCTCCCAAAGTGCTGGGATTACAGATGTGAGCCACTGCGCCAGGCCTCTTTCTGGTTTTATTTTTATTTTTATTTTTTTTGAGACAGAGTTTCGCTTTTGTTGCCCAGGCTAAAGTGCAGTGGCATGATCTCGGCTCACTGCAACCTCCGCCTCCCGGGTTCAAGCAATTCTCCTGCCTCAGCCTCCCGAGTAGCTGGGACTACAGGCGTCCACCACTACGCCTGGCTAATTTTTGTATTTTTAGTAGAGACACTGTTTCTCCATGTTGGTCAGGCTGGTCTCGAACTTCTGACCTCACGTAATCCACCCACCTCAGCCTCCCAAAGTGCTGGGATTACAGGCATGAGCCACCTCGCCCAGCCTGTTTTTTGTTGTTGTTGTTGTTGTTTGTTTTGAGATGGAGTTTTGCTCTTGTTGCCCAGGCTGGAGTGCAGTGGTGAGATGTTGGCTCACTGCAACCTCTGCCTCCCGCTTTCAAGCGATTCTTCTCCTGTCTCAGCCTCCTGAATAGCTGGGATTACAGGCACGCGCCACCATGCCCAGCTAATTTTTTGTATTTTTATTTTTATTTTTTTTAATTTTTATTTTATTTTATTTTTTTTAGTATTTATTGATCATTCTTGGGTGTTTCTCGGAGAGGGGGATTTGGCAGGGTCATAGGACAATAGTGGAGGGAAGGTCAGCAGATAAACATGTGAACAAGGGTCTCTGGTTTTCCTAGACAGAGGACCCTGCGGCCTCCCGGCCTTCCGCAGTGTTTGTGTCCCTGGGTACTTGAGATTAGGGAGTGGTGATGACTCTTAACGAGCCTGCTGCCTTCAAGCATCTGTTTAACAAAGCACATCTTGCACCGCCCTTAATCCATTTAACCCTGAGTGGACACAGCACAGGTTTCAGAGAGCACAGGGTTGGGGGTAGGGTTATAGATTAACAGCATCCCAAGGCAGAAGAATTTTTCTTAGTACAGAACAAAATGGAGTCTCCCATGTCTACTTCTTTCTACACAGACACAGTAACAATCTGATCTCTCTTTCTTTTCCCCACATTTCCCCCTTTTCTATTCGACAAAACCGCCATCGTCATCATGGCCCGTTCTCAATGAGCTGTTGGGTACACCTCCCAGACGGGGTGGCGGCCGGGCAGAGGCGCCCCCCACCTCCCAGACGGGGCAGTGGCCGGGCGGAGGCGCCCCCCACCTCCCTCCCGGACGGGGCGGCTGGCCGGGCGGGGGCTGACCCCCACACCTCCCTCCCGGACAGGGCGGCTGGCGGGGCGGGGGCTGGCCCCCACCTCCCGGACGGGGCGGCTGCCGGGCGGAGGGGCTCCTCACTTCGCAGACGGGGCGGCCGGGCAGAGACGCTCCTCACCTCCCAGATGGGGTGGCGGCCGGGTAGAGGCGCTCCTCACATCCCAGACGAGGCAGCGGGGCAGAGGTGCTCCCCACATCTCAGACGATGGGCGGCCGGGCAGAGACACGCCTCACTTCCTAGACGGGATGGCGGCCGGGAAGAGGCGCTCCTCACTTCCCAGACTGGGCAGCCGGGCAGAGGGGCTCCTCACATCCCAGACGATGGGCAGCCAGGCAGAGACGCTCCTCACTTCCCAGACGGGGTGGTGGCCGGGCAGAGGCTGCAATCTCCGCACTTTGGGAGGCCAAGGCAGGCGGCTGGGAGGTGGAGGTTGTAGTGAGCCGAGATCACGCCACTGCACTCCAGCCTGGGCAACATTGAGCACTGAGTGAGCCAGACTCCGTCTGCAATCCCGGCACCTCGGGAGGCCGAGGCAGGCAGATCACTCGCCGTCAGGAGCTGGAGACCAGCCCGGCCAACACGGCGGAACCCCGTCTCCACCAAAAAATGCAAAAACCAGTCAGGTGTGGCGGCGCACGCCTGCAATCCCAGGCACTCTGCAGGCTGAGGCAGGAGAATCAGGCAGGGAGGTTGCAGTGAGCCAAGATGGCGGCAGTACAGTCCAGCCTCGGCTTTCACAACTTTGGTGGCATCAGAGGGAGACCGGGGACAGGGACAGGGACAGGGAGAGGGAGAGGGGGAGGGGGAGGGGAGGGGGAGAGAGAGGGAGCTGTATTTTTAATAAAGATGGGATTTCATCAGGTTGGCCAGGCTGGTCTCGAACTCCTGACCTCAGGTGATCCACCTGCCTCGGCCTCCCAAAGTTCAGGAATTATAGGCATGAGCCACCGCGCCCGGCCTCTAATGTCACTTTCTAAATGCAGCCCCAGGATGGAACACAAAACTCCCTTGTGTTTTGCAGAGTGGAGGACAATGGGCTATTTACTGTCCTTATTCCGGGCACTGTACTTCCTACTCACACTGCCTAGATAGCTGCCTTTGATAGCCTTGTGAGCCCAGATTGTGGCAGGTAAAGGGAACCCCACACTCACTTCTCCTCCTCTCTGGGCTCTTGGCCTGTTGAAAACAGACAGAAGGAGCTAAGTAGGGACCTGCACAGAAAGTCAGGCTTTATTACTGAAGAGCTGAATGCAGAATTGGCAGGGTCTCCGACTGCCTTCCTCGAATCTAGTCCTTGCACAACTCTGACAAATCTTCCAATTGCAGCTAAAGAACTTAGAACCCAGAGAGCAAGGACCCACCTGAACCTGCCGGCAGGAGAAGGCCTGCTCTGTCTGCTTAATCCAGGACAGCTGGAAGTAGAGCCCCAGCTGTACATCCTGCCTCCACCAGCACAGGTGAGCTGTGCCCCCTGCCACGCCCTGCAGGAGTGCTGTGTGCTCCCCAGGCTATCCCATCAGATGGGTGGCTTTGCCTGCAGCTAGAACAAGAGTGAGGAGGGCGGTGAAGGAGGCTATGGTAGGCCAAACAATGCCTGCCACCCAGAAGAAATCTACACCCTTATCCCCGGCACCTGTGAATCCATTACCCTATGAGGCAAAAGGACTTTGCTGTTGCAATTAAGTCAAGGACCTTGAGCTGGGGAGATTCTCCCCCATCATCCAGGTGAGCTCAATGTAATCACAAGGGCCTTTATAAGAGGAAGGCTGGGCGGTGGCTCACTCCTGTAATCCCAGCACTTTGGGAGGCTGAGACAGGCATTTCACCTGAGGTAGGGAGTTCAAGACCAGCCTGACCAACATAGAGAAACCTCGTCTCTACTAAAAATACAAAATTAACAGGGTGTGGTGGCACATGCCTGTAATCCCAGCTACTCGGGAGGCTGAGGCAGGAGAATCACTTGAACCTGGGAGGCAGAGGTTGCGGTGAGCTGAGATCGTGCCATTGCACTCTAGCCTGGGCAACAAGAGCGAAACTCTGGAGACTAGAAGGTCAAAAGTAGAAGAAGGAGATGGGACAATGGAAGCAGAGGTGGAGTGATGAGCTTTGAAGATGGAAGTAGGGGCCACAAGCCAAGGAATGCAGGCGGCCTCTAGAATCTGGAAAAGGCAAGGAAACGGATTATCCCCTGGCTAAACAGACTCTCCCCTTTGATTTTAGCCCCATAAGACTCATTTTGGACGTCTAACCTTCAGAACTATAAGATAATAAGTTTGTGTTGTTTTAGCTACTAAGTTTGTGATGACATGGTAGGAAACCAAAACGGGGCTGAAAAGAGAAAGGACCATGAGAAAAGTGGAAAGAAGAAATCCTCCCAACGATGTTGCATTTGCAGTCGCCAAAGACCCAGGAGGCTTCCCGGGAGCTCCAGGTATGTCCTTCCCACTCGCTTTGCCGCCCAGCTGTTTTTTCCATCCTCGGAGGCTCAGCTCAAATGTCACCCAACTAGTGTTGCCCTTCCTGGGCTAACCTGACCTGGCAGAGTTCCCCACCCCTTGCCCTGGTGCACAGGGCACTGTCTGTGGCAGTATTCTGGACAGCCCACCTTGGTACTGTAGTTTTTTGTCTGTCTTAGTCCCTTATTAGAGGGGGAGCTCCTTGGGGATTGGAGCTATAGTCATTTCTCCTAAAAGTGTGTTAGATTGAGTGGAATTAAGCCAAGCCCTCCACATCTTAGACTTGCACTACTGAGTGTCTGATTTCATTTCAACCCCGCCCAGCCTTTCAAAGCTCATTACCCAAAACAGAAGCTTTCCCTCTCTTTTAGTGTCCTCTCTTGGCCATCAGTGTAAATGTCACCATGGATACCTAGTATTTTGTTTGCCCACCGGCCATAGAAATCTTTCCCCCCAGAAATTTTCAATCAGGACCGAGAGTTTCCAGCCCAGGCTGACGGCTCCCCTGAATGGAAGACATGTAAGCCCAGCCACTGTTATTTTCACTGGATATTTTCTACCCCAAGTTCCGAGCATCCCAGAAAGCAGATGTGGGGAAGAAGCAGGAGGCAGAGGGCAGAAAGGAGAGGGAGGGCTTTCTGTGCTCCCACAGTGCCCTGTTCCTGGTTTTAGTCAATCCCTGAGGCCCAGTGGCATCTCTGCCCTGGAATTCCTGAGATGCCTCTGGGGTCTTTCCAAAAGATTCCTGTTTTGCTTAGCCCAGCCAGAGTTGATTTCCATCACTTGCAACCAAAGAAGTCCTATAAAACTTGGAATGAGCCAGCCCGAGCCAAGAACAGAGTGCTGGCACATTACATACATGATGTGTTCCCAAACCAAATATGGTAAAGCCATACAAAGAGGCCACGAGTGTGGCCACCCTGTTTATGCGGAACACTGTAGAAAATCCAGAAGGAGGAAAGGGGGCCTATTGTTCCATCTGTCTGGCTGTAGGGCAGGGGCCAGGAGGAGGCAGGAGGGCAAGATGGAACATGGAAACCAAATCATGGGGTGGCACAAAGCATGGGGTATGGCCAGGAATTGAAACAGTGAGGAGCAGAAGCCAAAGATGCCAGGATTCAATGCCCAGATAGAAAAGGCACAAACCGCAGGAGTGGGCCATGGTCCAACCAAGGGAGGAAGCTGCCCTTTGGGTACCAGAGAGTTCTGATTAATGCCCTAGGGCAGGATCTGTTCTTTGTGCGTGAACACCTCTCTTGAAGGCCCAGAATCCCTGCCACTGACACCACCCACCTTGGTAGACCCACTGAGTCATGAGTCTAGTTCCTAAGCCCTAGTCAAACCTCAGTCAGGATCACAAAGCTCATGCATTTGACTCATGGGGTAGTCTATGGTGCTGGATTCTGTACCTCTTTATTCTTCTTTTAGAAGCAGTCTTAGCAAGCTTAAGTAACTAGTTTCCCAGGCCATGATGGATTGGATTCGTGCATTAGAAATGGGGAGAGATGGCTGGGCGAGGTGGCTCACACCTGTAATCCCAGCACTTTGGGAGGCCAACGCGGGCAGATCACCTGAGGTCAGGAGTTCGAGACCAGCCTGGCTAACTTGGCGAAACTCCATCTCTACTAAAAATACAAAAATTAGCCGGGCGTGGTGGCAGGCACCTGTAGTCCCAGCTACTCAGGAGGCTGAGGCAGGACAATCGCTTGAACCCAGGAGGCAGAGGCTGCAGTGAGCCAAGATCATACCACTGCACTCCAGCCTGGGCAACAGAGTGGGACTCCATTTCAAAAAAATAAAATAAAATAAAGAAATGGGGAGAGATGGCTGGGCACAGTGGCTCACGCCTATAATCCCAGCACTTTGGGAGGCTGAGGTGGGTGGATTACCTGAGGTCAGGAGTTCAAGACCAGCCTGGCCAACATGGTGAAACCCTGTCTCTACTAAAAATGCAAAAATTAGCCGGCGTGGCAGCAGGCGCCTGTAATCCCAGCTACTCAGGAGGCTGAGGCAGGAGAATTGCTTGAACCCAGGAGGCAGACGTTGCCTTTTTGAAACTCTGTCCCGCCGCCTCCAAAAAAAAAGAAAGAAATGGTGAGAGATGCTATTAAGGAATCACCATCACAGCAACCAGAACTAATATGCTACAGCAGTGCTTCTTGGCCCCAGCCCTGATGACACTTGGGGCCAGCTCCCTCTTCACTGTGGGGGCTGTCCTTTGCCTTGCAGGGGGGTTACCAGTAGCACCTCCTCTATTTATGTCAACCAAAAATGTCTCAGATATTGCCACATGTCCTTGAAGGACAAAATCTCCCAGATTGTGAACCACTGTGCTGTAGGAAGAGAGTAAGCAGCAGTTACAAGTCCTCCAACTCCTGACAGCTCTCTTGCACTTCTGCCACGCAGACGAATAGTCCCCAAGAAGCTGCAGGATGGTGCTGACCAGCCCATCTGCAAAGACCCTGTCTCAGAAAGCGTGGGAAGTGTATGCCCAAAGGGTGACAGCGCTTCCCTGGGGAAGGTTCGAAGAAGGAATGTTTTTCTTCTCTTGGCATCTTTTGACAGTGCCTGGCACATGTTAGACCTTCAGTAAATATTTGAATATTTGTTAAGTTAAATTAGATTATAAAGGTTTCTAGGCTGATTCTGTACTGGTTTTGGACTTAGAAAGGGATGGATTGTTAAGCCTTTTTTTTTTTTTCAGACAAAGTCTTGTGCTGTCACCCAGGCTAAAGTGTCTTGGCACAATCACAGCTCACTGCAGCCTCTACTTCCTGGGCTCAAGTGATCCTCCCCTCCCAACCTCTCAAGTAGCTGAGACTGTAGGTGTGGGCCACCACGCCCACATCATTTTTTTAAATTTTATGTAGACAGGGAGTCTCACCATGTTGCCCAGGCTGGTCTCAAACTCCTGGCCTCAAGCAATCTTCCCACCTTGGCCTCCCAAAGTGTTAGGATAACAGGTGTGAGCCATTGCACCTGGCCTCTTCTGATGAGATTTTCTCAATCCTTCCAGGCCCATCTCCATTCCTGCTTCCTTCCCAAAGCCAGTCCCGAGTCTTCTCTCTCCTGACCCCTCTCCACCTCCCTCCAGCACTCTGACCTACTATATGCTTATCTTGTAGGTCAAGAGGAAGTAAGAATCTCTGTATCCCACTGAAGAGTGTGCACCAGGTGCAATCAGATAACCAGGGTGTCACAGGGTAGAGGTCTCTGTCTCATGTGTTTTTTTTTTTTTTAAGTTTTTTTTTTAGAGACAAGGTCTCGCTATGTTGTCCAGACTGGACTCAAACTCCTGGCCTCAAGCAATCCTCCAGCCTCGGCCTCCTGAGTATTCGGGACTGCAGGTGCACACCACTGCACCAGGCTTCTGTCTCATTTCTGGTTTGTGGTGTGTGCCCCTTTCTCTTTCACTGCTCAAGGGGTAAAGAAAATTGAGATCTGACTTATGGGGCCAAAATTAGGGGGGGAAGAAAAGCACTGCTGTCTGGCAGCTGGGGTCTCTCCAAACATATTCTCTTTTTTCTCAGAACAGCATGACGAAAAACATAAGCTGAGCCAGAGTAACTGCTGTCTGGCACAGCACAGGGTAGTTGCGTGCGTGCATACATGTGTGTGAATGTGTGAGCGGATAAGGATGGGCATGCTGGAGAGCGAGTGAGAGCGCGTGGGAGGGTACGTGAGGACATGCGTGTGTGTGTACTTGCGCACACAAGCTCTATACACGCGTTTTCTACTTGGGGTTATTCAGGGTCGGCATTCCAGTTGTTGGAAGCAGATCCTCAGCTGAGTGGCCTCTTTTGTAACCAGGGCCGTAGGTCTGAGCATTTCTTTTTGCAGTAGAAATGGGCTCTGTGATGAGTCACACCAGTGGCTGGACAGAAGGGAGACTTGGCTGAAGAAGCAAGTCTTCCTGAGTGGGTCTAGGGCAGCCACGGCCAGACCCTCACACAGAGACAGCCCCAGAAAGAGTGGCCCGTGGCAGGTGTGGGAGGCTCCTGGAGCATACTCACCGTCTGGGAGGGTTACATCTCTGGACATCAAGGTGGGAGCACACAGCTTGGCATGCACCCAGGGGCCTGGGCAGACCTTCACACTCACCTTGGAAGAGATGAGCGAGCAGCCATTCCCGCTGGCCCAGGACATTCACACCATGGGAATTCCCAAGGGCTCTGTCCTAAGAGATCTGATCTGAAATCCAAGCTCAGCCTGAAAAGAAATTGGCCCAAGTCATCCTAGTCCAGTCCCCACTAGGTGCTAGTTCCCAGCCCAGAGTCCAGGACAAGCACTCATTCCTACACTCCTGCTGGGAACCAGGAGAGAGACTTACACACCAGGAGACAGAATGAGTTATGCAAAGTCCCAGGGGCGGCCTTTCAGGGTGGTCAGGATGAACCAGGAACTCGCAAACAAGCTGAAGAAGGCACAGCAGAGAAGCCGATGAAGACTCACACTGAGAAAACACTTAGGGGGATGTGTCACCGGCACCGTGCCAAGCGCTGCATCATCCACCAACTCAGATCTTTGAAGCAATGCCTTAAGGGCACTGGGGCATTAGGCTGCTCAGCGGGCAGATGAGCAAACGGAGGCTCAGAAAGCGGAAGTGACTTTCCTGTTAGCACGCAGCTATTAAGTGCAGAGCCGAGATTCAAACAAAGTCAAGAATGAGGTACAAAATGTCTAGCAATCAGTAGGCTGGTTAAATAAACACTGATTTATTTATGGAATACTGGGCAGCCATTGACATTTCTTGGTAGAAGAATAGTTAATGGCCTGGAAAGATGTTCAAGATATGTAATTGAGCAGAAAAAAAAAAAAAAGCAAGGTACAAAACAGCATGTGCAGAGAGATTATTAAAACATAAAATACAGGCCGAGCACAGTGGCTCCTGCCTGTAATCCCTGCACTTTGGGAGGCCAAGGTGGGTGGATCACCTGAGGTCAAGAGTTCGAGAGCAGCCTGGCCAACACGGTGAAACACCATCTCTACTAAAAATACAAAATTAGCAGGGCATGGTATGCACGCCTGTAATCCCAGCTACTTGGGAGGCTGAAGACAGGAGAATCTCTTGAACTGGAGAAGTGGAGGTTGCAGTCAAGATCGCACCACTGCACTCCAGCCTGGGCAACAGAGCGAGACTCCATCTCAAAAAATAATAATAATAAAAAAACACACACAAAATACAGAGGTATGATTTCCGAGGAAAAAACTCAGAATATCAGCAGGGGCTTTCTCTGGATAATAGGAGTAGGTGTGAGTTCTACTCTATGGGTTTGTTCCTTTTTCTTACAATGATCATTTTGTAACAATGACAAACCTGACTTGGAAGAGTCCAGGCTGTGTTTCAGTTGTGTGGGGAGTGGGGGTGGGGAGGCGGTGTTTTGGTAGGGGGTGATGAGGGGATGATGGCTGGCACTGTGAGGTGATGGCTGAGCAGGTAGGAAGGTGTGGTGAGAAGCAATGCCTTTCCTAGGAACATATCCATCTTTCTTTTTCTTTTCTTTTCTTTTTTTTTTTTTTTTCTGAGATGGGGTTTCACCCTTGTTGCCCAGGCTGGAGTGCAATGGCACGTGATCTCAGCTCACTGCAACCTCTGCCTCCCGGGTTCAAGTGATTCTCCTGCCTCAGCCTCCGAAATAGCTGGGACTACAGCTACACCCAGCTAATTTTTTATTTTTAGTAGAGACAAGGTTTCACCATGTTGGTCAGGCTGGTCTCGAACTCCTGAAATCAAGTGATCCGTCTACCTTAGCCTCCCAAAGTGCTGGGATTACAGGCGTGAGCCACCGCACATGGCACACATCCATCTTTTTTCCTTTTTCATTTGTATCTTTTTTTTTTTTTTTTTTTTTTTTTTGAGACAGAATCTCCCTCTGTCACCCAGGCTGGAGTGCAGTGGTACCATCTCAGCTCACTGCAACCTCTGCCGCCCAGGTTCAAGCAATTCTACTGCCTCAGCCTCCCAAGTAGCTGGGATTATAGGCGCCTGCCACCGTGCCTGGCTAGTTTTTGTAGTTTTAGTAGAGACAGAGTTTCACCATGTTGGCCAGGCTGGTCTTGAACTCCTAACCTCGTGATCCACCCATCTCAGCCTCCCAAAGTGCTGGGAATACAGGAGTGAGCCACTGTGCCAGGCCTTTTTTTTTTTTTTTTCTTTTTTTGAAACAGAATCTCACTCTGTCCCCCAAGCTAGAGTGCAGTGGTGCAGTCACGGCTCACTGTAGTCTTGACCTCCTGGGCTCAAGCAATCCTCCTGCCTCAGCCTCCCAAAGTACTGGGATTATAGGCATGAGCCACCACACTTGATCATCTTTTTCCTAGACCTGACAGCCAGCAGGAGAGGCTGGGTACCCTGGCTGGTTCTCTGCGTGCACACGTGATTGAGTTCTACCAGTCTGGGCCTGTCCTTGCAATGCTGGGGGCAGGTGAGAGTAGGGAGGGGACAGAATTGGACCAGATGTGTCCTAGATATGCACAGAGAAGGTGCAGGTAGCTGGTGACAGGGACTTAAATGTGTGTGTGTGTGTGTGTGTGTGTGCCAAGTTCAGAGGGGAAGGTGCCCTGCTTAAAAATAAGAGTGGGCCAGTTGCAGTGGCTCACACCTGTAATCCCAGCACTTTGGGAGGCCGAGGCAGGCAGATCACTTGAGGCCAGGAGTTCAAAACCATCCTGGCCAATATGGCAAAACCCCGTCTCTACTAAAAAAAAAAAAAAAAAAAAAATTAGCCAGGCATGATGGTGTGTGCCTGAAGTCCCAGCTACTCGGGTGGCTGAGGCACAAGAATCACTTGAACCCAGGAGGTGGAGGTTGCGGTGTGCCAAGACTGCACCGCTGCACTCTAGCCTGGGTGACGGAGCGAGATTTGGTCTCAAAATAAATAAATAAATAAAATAAAAAGAGTGGCAATATAAGTCCAGCCATCTAGAACTGTGGGTCTCAATCCCTTGAGACCCAATGACATTCCCTTTAAAATTGATTTTTAAATATTTTGTAACAGCAACCTGAAAGTAAATGTGTTAATATAACCTACCTACTGACATAATATTTTTAATCGGCCAGGCGCGGTGGCTCACGCCTATAATCCCAGCACTTTGGGAGGCCGAGGTGGGTGGATCACCTAAGTTCAGGAGTTCGAGACCAGCCTAGCCAACATGGTGAAACCCCATCTCTACTAAAAATACAAAAAATTAACCGGGTGTGGTGGTGGGCACCTGTAATCCCAGCTACTCGGGAGGCTGAGGAAGGAGAATCACTTGAACCCATGAAGTGGAGGTTGCAGTGAGCTGAGGTGGCCCCATTGTACTCCAGCCTGGGCAACAAGAGTGAAACTCCATCTAAAAAAAATATATACATACATATACATATATATATATATATATATATTTTAATCATTATTATTATAACTATATCATAAAGGAAAAATATTAAAATGAAACAACAGGTATTTCAATATGTAAATGGTCAGGAATGACTGCATTCCGTATGTAAATGTTTAGGCATGACTGCATGAGAAGGCAACATTTCCACCACCACCAACGCTCATGCGGGCACACACATTTCCAAAATTCTTCCTAGGGGAGATTCAACCCTGAGGACCACTGATTTAAATAATAGCAGGCTGTGGCTCACGCCTGGAATCCCAGCACTTTGGGAGGCTGAGGCGGGCGGATCACGAGGTCAGGAGATCGAGACCGTCTTGGCTAACACAGTGAAACCCCGTCTCTACTAAAAATACAAAAAAAAAAAAAATTAGCCGGGCGTGGTGGCGGGCGCCTGTAGTCCCAGCTACTTGGGAGGCTGAGGCAGGAGAATGGTGTGAATCCGGGAGGCGGAGGTTGCAGTGAGCCGAGATGGCACCACTGCACTCCAGCCTGGGCAACAAAGTGAGACTCTGTCTCAAAAATAAATAAATAAATAAATAACAATAGCTGGCCTATAATGGGTGCTTTCTTTTTTTTTTTTTTTTTTTTTGATACGGAGTCTCGCTCTGTCGCCCAGGCTGGAGTGCAGTAGCGCGATCTCGGCTCACTGCAAGCTCCGCCTCCCAGGTTCAAGCCATTCTCCTGCCTCAGCCTCCCAAGTAGCTGGGACTACAGGCACCCGCCACCATGCCCGGCTAATTTTTTGTATTTTTAGTAGAAACGGGGTTTCACCAGGTTAGCCAGGATGGTCTCGATCTCCTGACCTCATGATCCACCTACCTTGGCCTCCCAAAGTGCTGGGATTACAGGTGTGAGCCACCGTGCCCGACCATAATGGGTGCTTTCTATGGGCCAGTGTTCCAGTGGCAAGGGAACATGAATGGCATGGGTGTAGCAGGAGGCAGGTGGCTTGTGTGGAGAGCATGTGAGGTGGGCCAGTGTGGCCATGCACACATGAAAAGAGAGAAGCTGTGGTCCTGTGGTGAGAAGGAGGAAGCAGCTGCCTTCCCTCTGGGCTCCTCTCTTGACATCACATCCTGCCTTGGAGGAGGAGCCCAATGAAGACAGCATCTAGAGATGATTTGGGTTGAGGATCCCATGTTGATCAGAATTCACCAGGCCTTTCAATGCTCACTTCCTCCCCAGGAGGTGAGCTCGAACTTCGGACCCTCAGATGAATCACAGAGACCACACATGGAGACCCATCTCCCTGTTTTGTAATCTCCATGCATTCGTAGCCAATCTCCCAGCCACACCTTCTCAAGTCCTGATAGCCATTCGCAGTCTCCCCAGCCTCCACTAGCAAAGGAGAGATGAGAGGGCTCCCAGCCCATGGCCCTGAGGAGGGTGAGGACTGGGCCAGACACCTTGGGCTAATCGATAAGGAGCCTCTTGAAATACCCTCGTCACTTCCTGGCTGTGTGCTGAGCCACTCTAGGGGAAGAGGGATTCTCAGACAACCCTTGGGCCAGGCACTTGGATCTTGACTGGAATAATTAGACACAGAGCCAACAATGATGTCATGCCTCTGCAGAAGAAAGAAGGATGACTTTGAGCAAGGTGCTTACCTTGGCCTCAGTCCTCTTGTTTGTCAAGTGAGCTGGGGTGGACCTGACAAGTTTTAACATTCCTGTGCTGCCATTCCAATGTGAAGACAGATGTTCTCTTGGGCAGCCAGTCACAATGGCTCACACCTGTAATCCCAGCACTTTGGGAGGCTGAGGCAGGAGGATCGTTTGAGCCCAGGAGGTTGAGGCTGCAGTGAGCTGTGATGGTGCCACTGCACTCCAGCCTGGGCAAGAACAAGACCCCGTCTCAAAAAAAAGAAAAAGAAGTCCTCCTGGGACTTGAAGTCCCTCTAAGAAGAATATGGCAGTGATGGCTTTGCATAGCCAACTTGCTTCCCCATCCAACTCCCTTTAGTTTCCATGGGGAACTTCTCTCCCTCTGCAGGGGGCCCTACCTGCTTCCAAGAATGTAAGGGTAGGCAGGTGACCTTGGCTGCCCAGCCAGAGGTTCCTCCCTATGTTGATTGATCCTTTAGTGGACATGGCCTCTAAAGGTCCAGTTAAGAGTCTTCCCTGGCCAGGCACGGTGGCTCATGCCTGTAATCCCAGCACTTTGGGAAGCCGACGCAGGCGGATCACGAGGTCAGGAGATCAAGACCATCCTGGCTAACACGGTGAAACCCCGTCTCTCCTAAAAATACAAAAAATTAGCCGGGTGTGGTGGTGGGCCCCTGTAGTCCCAGCTACTCGGGAGGCTGAGGCAGGAGAATGGCTTGAACCCGGGAGGCAGAGCTTGCAGTGAGCCGAGATCACACCACTGCACTCCAGCCTGGGCGACAGAGCAAGACTCCATCTCAAAAAAAAAAAGAGTCTTCCCTAATATATGAAAGACAGAAATTATGTTTCTGGGAATTTATTAGAAGGAAAGATGTGAATTTAAGGCTACTAGCTGTCATCTTTCTGACACAAGAGAAAGCACATGTGCAGAGTGAAGCCAGTACATAGAAGGAGACAAAGCTGAGAGACTAAGGAGATAAAACGCCTATGACATTGTTTGAACCCCTAGATCAAACTGTGCCTGAAGGTGGTGCCCAGTTGAGGGTTAATAAACTCTCTTTTTGCTTAAGCTAGTTGGATTTGGGTTTCTGTAACTTGAAACTGAAACCGTCCTAAGTAATGTAATCTTTCAGCAGCATCTCTCCAAGTTGGGCTGTGAGAGAGGTATTGAGCACATGGAGAGGTAGAATCTGCCAGTTTATACCTATAGTCTAGCCAAAGAAACCCATAGCCCCAGCATATCTCTTCTGCCATGTGCTTTGACAATCTCGTAGTCAGCCTTATAGAGGGGACCTCACCTGGCCGGGTGTGGTGGCTCACTCCTGTAATCCCAGCACACTGGGAGTCTGAGGCAGATGGATCACGAGATCAGGAGTTCAAGACCAGCCTAGCCAAGATGGTGAAACACCATCTCCACTAAAAACTACAAAAATTGGCCAGGCGTGATGGCTCACGCCTGTAAACCCAGCACTTTGGGAGGCCGAGGCAGGTGGATCACGAGATCAGGAGATCGAGACCATCCTGGCTAACATGGTGAAACCCTGTCTCTACTAAAAAATACAAAAAATTAGCCCAGCGTGGTGGCGGGCGCCTGTAGTCCCAGCTACTCGGGAGGCTGAGGCAGGAGAGTGGTGTGAACCCAGGAGGCGGAGCTTGCAGTGAAGCGAGATCGTGCCACTGCACTCCAGCCTGGGTGACAGAGTGAGACTCCATCTCAAAAAAAAAAAAAAACTACAAAAATTAGCCAGGCACAGTGGCAGGCACCTATAATCCCAGCTACTCAGGAGGCTGAGGCAGGAGAATCCCTTGAACCCCGGGTGGCAGAGGTTGCATTGAGCCAAGATCATGCCACTACGCTCTAGCCTGGGTGACAGAGTGAGACTCCGTCTCAAAAAAAAAAAAGAAAGAAAGAAAGGACCTCACCTAACCCAACCCGTGGCCCATGCCAGCATGCACATTTTTCAAGCTCAAATTTGACAGCCTTGAAAAAGAATGTCTTTGTGCCCAGCCACATATTACCCCAGGAAATAGCATGGACTCTGCATTCAATACTTGCCTCCATGATGGGAGATCTGCATCCCCTGGCACTGGGATTACAGGGACCTGGGGCTTAGAATAGCCCATCTGCCCTGTTGATCCTTCTACTACCTCAAGCTGCTGACAGGAGAAACCAGCCCCAGCCACAGGGCCAAGGAAGACTTGGGTCTTAGTGTCACTGGTTGCTATACATGCAGTACCTGAGTTCTTCAATCAGTGTTCCACTCTGCTATGAACTGAATTGTGTCCTCCCAAAATATTTGTATGTTGAAGCCTTTAACCCCAATGTGACTATATTTGGAGATAGGGCCTTTGGGAGGTAATTAAGGTTAAATGAAGTCATAAAGGTGAGGCCCTAATCCAAAAGGATCGGTAGCCTTATAAGAAGGGGAAAAGATACTCTGCTCTTGACATGCACAGAGGAAACAGTGTGGGCAGACAGTGAGGAGGCAGCCATCCACAAGCCAGGAAGGGAGCCCTCACCAGGACCCAATCCTGCTGGCCCCCTGCTCTTGGACTTCCATCCTTTGGAACTGTGAGAAAATAAGTTTCTGTTGTTTAAGCCATGCAGTCTATGATGTTTTGTTATGGTAGCCCAAGCTAAGACACACTCCCCGCATATACTGCCTTCTGAGGGGGTGGGGAAATAATTCTTATCAATGATTCTCAGCAGTGACCATGCGCCTGGCATTCTCCTAAGCACTTTCCATACCTTAGCTCATGGAATCCTCATAACAACCCTGTGAAGTAGGTAGCATTACAATCTTTATACAGGTGAGGAAACTGAGGCACAGAGAGGTTATGGAACCAAGGCCACACTGTAATACTGTAAAACTAGATTCAAACCCCAGCAGTCCTCAATACTGAGGAACTGAGAGAAGCGATAATGAAAAGACCACCCCCCATCACCCAAAAGAATCAGCAGGAAGGAACGATGTGACTGTTCCGCCCTGCATTTAGACACCTGGCAATGCTCTACTGTGAAATGGACTCAGGTTACTACAGTCCACAAGGAAGTGATCTGTCCCCATGTCCCCTCCAGGGAGATGCCCCTTGCATTGTAACTGTGTGACCCTGCCTAAGTCACACCATGAAAAATAGGTGGATGACATGCCAGCTCAAACTCTTCCCATTATTCCTGTAGTTCTAAAAACACATAGGCAATGGCTGGCCACAGTGACTCATGCCTGTAATCCCAGCACCTTAGGAGACCGAGGTGGGCAGATCACTTGAGGTCAGGAGTTCAAGACCAGCCTGGCCAACATGGTGAAACCCCATCTCCAGTAAATATACAAAAAATTAGCCAGGCGACTGCAGCCTGTAATCCCAGTTACTCGGGAGGCTGAGGACGAGAATCGCTTGAACCCAAGAGGCAGAGGTTGCAGTGAGCCGAGATCGAGCCACTGCACACCAGCCTGGGTGACAGAGCAAGACTCCATCTCAAAAAAAAAAAAAAAAAAAAAAGACTACCCTGGTCAATATGGTGAAACCCCGTCTCTACCAAATATATGAAAATTAGCCGGGCATGGTGGTGCATGCCTGTAGTCCCAGCTACTCAGGAGGCTGAGGCAGGAGACTCATCTGAACCCAGGAGGCAGAGGTTGCAGTGAGCCGAGATTGCGCCATTGCACTCCAGCCTGGGTGACAGAGTGAGACTCCATCTCAAAAACCAAACAAAAAGCACACAGGCAAGCTCCTGGGTGACAGCAGTGCTGTCAGGAGTAGTGTGTGGAATCAGTTCACGCGGTGTGTCCCCGGGGTGGGGGAGTGGGGGTGTAGTCCAGGCTCAGGGCCTGGTACAGATTCCAATTTGGCCCTGAGGAGGGCAGCAGAATCTGCTTTGTGCCCACAAATCCCCAGGAGCTGACCCAGGGCTCACCCCCAGGCCCAGTCCCTTCCAGACCTTTCCGGTAGCTTCATCCAACCCTAGTGGCCAAATACCTTGACTTTATGACCTGGACTGGCTCCCCAAAGTCCTTGTCTGATAGGACATTGACTCCTTCCAAGACTCAGCTCCTTGTTTCCAGCAGTCCCCAGTACCTGGGACTCTGGGCTCAGAGGGAAATGGTGGGTTTTAGCCCCCTGGGGGGATGGACTGAGATTGAGTGAGGCTCAGAGGTTAGAACCGAGGGCTCAGCCAGTGTGGGGCTTCTGGGGTCTCCTTGTGATGGCACTCGTGATCCACCAGGTGTCGCTGCGCAGCCAGTGGGATGAGGGGTGGTGGCAGGAGGACCTTCTCCAGCACCCACCCTAGGGACTGGGGAAGTAAAGGCGGGAGGCTGGGGTGGAGCAGAGCAGTGGTCCTATCCCCCTAGCCTCAAGGCCAGCAGAAGCACCCCCGAGAAGGTGCATGTCCTGGTCTATAAGCCTGAGGACAGAGGCGGCCTCCATCAAAGGCCTGAAATGAGTGGAGGGTGATGTGGAAGGACAGATCACACCTTCTCATCCCAGCAAGCCACTGGGTGGGACAGCAGGCACCCCCACCCTTACCACCCACCCCCACACCCCTGTCCAGGAGCTCAGCCCAGCTTCCTGGGGTCCTGCCTGGGGGCCACTCCTTAGCCCCCACCCATAGAAGGTGTTAGTGGGCCAGGTAGACTACACGGCCACCAGGGAGACTTTGGTGTCTCATTAGCTCCAGATCAAGCAAACCTAGTTCAAAGTCAGGCAGCACTGGGAGCTTCCAACTGGCCATTTCCAGCCTAATCTAAAGGCTTGTCACTCAGAAACCAGCAGACCCCACGCCCAACACTGGCTTCCTTCCCATCTCCTCGGGCTGGGAAGGGAGCATGGAAAAAGCGCTTGTTTTTGTCCTCATTGGTTCCAGGCTCTGAATCCTGAAGCCCCGATGCAGGAGAACGTAGACACTGCAGGACCTGGCTGGGCGCGGTGGCTCACACCTGTAATCCCAGCACTTTGGGAGGCCAAGGCAGATGGATCACCTGAGGTCAGGAGTTTGAGACCAGCCTGACCAACATGGTGAAACCCCGTTTCTACTAAAAATACAAAAAATTAGCCAGGCACGGTGGCGGGCGCCTGTAATCCCAACTACTCAGGAGGCTGAGGCAGGAGAATCGCTTGAACCCAGGAGGTGGAGGTTGCAGTGAGCCAAGATTGCACCATTGCACTCCAGCCTGGGCAACAGAGTGAGACTCCAGACTCCGTCTCAAAACAAACAAAACACAAAGACACTGCAGGACTTTCCTCTGGCTTGCTAGGCTTGCTTGCCACTCGCCCAGGCCCCACCCACCTGGGGACTCACCACAGGCTCACCCTGCAGATCCCAGAGGTGGAGTTACAGTTCTGGCATTTCTGGTTCCCCAGGTGGGCCTCAGGGAGGAAAGGTCTGAAAGAGGAGAGGCAAGGAGAGAAGCCAGGGTGGAGCCTGCCCTCCTCCACCTGACACCCCCAACCAGGCCTGGGGCTCGGTGCCTCCAGCTCCAAGTCCTCCCCTCTCCAACAGCCACTTAAAGGCCTCCCTCTGGCTCTTCTCAGAGAAGAAAATCAAAAGAAGGAGAGAGGGAGGAAAGGCAGTAGTTCAGGGCATGGATTCAAATCTGCATGTAGGAGATGGAAAAGCAAGGTAGGAGATGGGCAGAGACACAGGAAGAGCAGGAGATGTAGGGTGTGGCCTTAGCACTTGCTGGGAGGTAGGGGTGGGACAACTGAGTGAGGAGCTGGCTTAGAGAGCAGACTGTGGAGTTTAGTCCTGATGGTGGTTTCTGAAAGTGTCATGGGGTTGGTGGATGCATGTAACCAAACAATTCTGTTAGCCTAACTCACCTGCTCTCCACTAGCCACCAATGCACAAATACAAATTGATCACCTATTAGGGGCTGCACTGTGCCAGGCAATATGAGGGACACGCTACAAAACATCCTGGTGGGCTGGGCGCGGTGGCTTACGCCTGTAATCCCCACACTTTGGGAGGCCAAGGCAGGCGAATCATTTGAGATCAGGAGTTCAAGACCAGCCTGGCGAGCATGGTGAAACCCCGTCTCTACTAAAAATACAAAAATTAGCCAGGCGTGGTGGTGCACACCTGTTGTCCCAGCTACTTGGGAGGCTGAGGCAAGAGAATCGCTTGAACCCGGGAGGCGGAGGTTGCAGTGAGCCGAGATCATGCCATTGCACTCCAGCCTGGGCGACAGAGTGAGACTCCGTTTTAAAAAAAAATCCTGGCCAGGCGCGGTGGCTCACGCCTGTAATCCCAGCACTTTGGGAGGCCAGTGCGAGCAGATCACGAGGTCAGCAGATCAAGACCACGGTGAAACCCCGTCTCTACTAAAAATACAAAAAATTAGCAGGACGCGGTGGCGGGCACCTGTAATCCCAGCTACTTGGGACGCTGAGGCAGGAGAATGGCGTGAACACAGGAGGTGGAGCTTGCAGTGAGCCAAGATCGTGCCACTGCACTCCAGCCTGGGCAACAGAGGGAGACTCCGTCTCAAAAGAAAAAAAAAAACAAAAACAATAAAAATGCAAGTCTGTTGGAAGCCCTGCCCAGTTCCATAGTGCATCTGTGTGACTCTGTTCAGGATTTTGCACCCATAGGCGCAGAATCTCACGTGTGTGCACATGTGCTTGTGACCAGGCAAATCGGTTGCATCTTTAATGTGCTTGGGAGTCCTGGAAGAGAGCCGTTTCTTAGGAGTGTTGCATGTCAGAAAAGGAAAGGAACTGAAGAAAGCTGTTTCTTAAGATTGTTGCATGTCAGAAAAGCAAAGGAACTGAGGGGCCCCACAGGCCTCTTATTGTACAGAAAGGGAGAAGATAAGGTCCAAGGGGTTGAATCACATGCTCTGGTCACTCAGTGAGAGAACACCTTAATAAAATTTGCCACGAGGCTTGTCTTGGCTGATATGTGAGTTCCCAGAGGTCACAGGCAGAAGCGCCGTGGAAATGGAATATCGGCACGGGAACTTAGGTTTCTCCTCCGCCTGTGGCAGCGCTGGAGAAGATGGTGGCACCTGGTGCCATGACTGCGTGCATGATGATCATCAGGGAGCAATGATGGGAAGTGTCTAAGGGTTAGGCTCTGGAGACAAATTTCTTTTTCTTTTTCTTTTTTTTTTTTTTGAGATGGAGTCTCGCACTGTCGCCCGAGCTGGTGTGCAGTGGTGCAATCTCAACTCACTGCAACCTCCGCCTCCCGGCTTCAAGCGATTCTCCTGCCTCAGCCTCCCAAGCAGCTGGGATTACAGGCACCTGCCACCACGCCCAGCTAATTTTTTGTATTTTTAGTAGAGACAGGGTTCCACTGTATTGGCCAGGCTGGTCTCAAACTCCTGACCTCGTGATCCCCCCGCCTCGGCCTCCCAAAGTGCTAGGATTACAGGCATGAGCCACCACGCCCAGCCTGGAGACAAATTTCTACTGACCAGCTCCTTCTTAACATCGCTGCACCTCAGTTTTCCCACGTGGAAAATACAGGTCATGGTACTTCCTCCTTCAGAGGGTGGTTGTAAGAATCCAATGGATGGATACATGCAACAACTTAGCAAGGTGCCTGGCACGCACTAAAAGCTCAACAAAGATGTGTCCTTATGATCATTCTCTGCTTGCATCCTCACCAGTGGATCCCAGCAAGCCCACTTCAGCTCAGAGACCTCTGCTAGGGCCCAGAGCCCATCCTTTGGAGATTCCCATCTCACAGGCTTTGTGGTTACTGACTGACTTTGTAATTCCCAAACCTGACCAGCAGGCAGTTCATATGGAAGTTCTTGCCACCTCCTGGTGAAAACAAGGACTGCGGGCAAATTGCTTGGTGTCCTGCTTTGTCCTGAGGCTGGAGCAAGGGGCATGGGTGGGCTGGGAGCCTTGGGCAAGAGGCTGATGCGTCGTGAGTGGTGAGGCTGGTGTCCGTGGGACACAGTGCTGTGTTCTCTCCCGCCTTGAGACTGTTTACGATTTGCCAGACTCTTGTGGTGCTATCCAAAATAATGCATCCAGTAGAGCGTTCCTGCCTTGGGGAGCTTGCATTAGGCTGCTGACATTCCCACAAAGAGCTATTTTTTTGTGCCACTTACTTTTATTTTTGTCATTTGCTTTACTCTCTTAATTTCCACTCTACCTCCCAACCCCCAACCCCTGTTCCCACCCATATCATTGCCTGTTAAAAGCAGCGGGAATTCTGAAGCCAGCCTTGTCCTCATTTAGGATGAGGACCTGAGCACAGAGGGATATTTTTCTTGTGGCAGCTGTGAGCTTTGCCAACCCCACTGAATTCAGGCTGGCCACAGCTCATCCCATGAGGCCAGGTATAGAGCCTTTCCTAGCAACAGTTGCAGAATCACAGCAGAGAGCGCTCCTGGGATCTGGCCCCCAGGGTTGGTCCATTTAAAGAAGCCACACTTGAGCCTGAGCCTAGCAGAGCTAGTGAGAGAAGAGTGTTGGCTCCATGCTGGCACGGGGCCTGCCTGTCCCTCCACCCCTTCAAGAACCCGTGACAAACAACCTTGCCTGGTGCCCAAGTGCCTGCCAAGCCCTGTCATATTAAAACCCTGGAAGACTCGGCAAGGAGTCCAATTTCAGCCCAGCAGGTGGGGAAACCAAGGCAATAAGAGCCCAATGTGACCAAGGTCACACACAGCTCTGGCTACAAGGCCCCGGAGGCCGGGCATCCAGGGCTGCAGGCTAAGCACCGAGCACCCTCACCCTCACCCCAGCCAAGGCTCAGCTGGGCACAGAGGAGGAACAAACATCCCCCACGTCATTCAACAGCAGAGCCCAGAGAAAGGCCCAGCACTTCCCCTCCATGAATGCTATTGCTGGTCCCCTCCCTCCCCTGGCGGGAGGGGGGGATACAGAGGCACTGAGACTCCCTGGAGCCTCTTTGGCAAGTCATTTCCAAGCCAGGCAGCCTGATCTCAAGCAGCTCCCAGTTGAGTGCCTGAAACACCAGACATCAAAAACCTGGCAGGCCTGGGGAGAAGGGAAGATTAGATCATTACAGCAGAATGAAGCAAACCAAAAACCCAGAGAAGGCAGGAGGGACAGAGGCCAAGAATGTTTCAAGGCAACCTGAAACTCCTTCAGATGAGAGCGGCCCGTACAGTGGCAGCTTCCCCTACTGCCAGGAAAGCCTGGCGTGTCTCAGCCCCTTTTTGGGTGGAGTAGGGAGTGTACTGGTCCATACACGTGCGCTCGGAGGTGATGGGAACAGGAAGCATGTTCTGGTCTTCCATGTGCACACACATTTGGACACATAAACGTGCATGCACAGGTGTCCAGGCCAGGCGTGTAAGCCCCCAGGAGTGCATGCGTGTGTTTGCGTGCAGTCTACAAACATGTTTTCACAAAGCTCAAGGAGAAGCAATCAGTCATCTCCAAGGAATCTTAGCAACAGCCATCCCCAGAAAAGGCTCCTGCCAGCTGGGGCAGCGATGAGTCAGCAGAGGCGTCGTGGGGGAGGCGGGAGGCGAGGCAGCCTCAGCCCTGGAGCCTGAGCCGGCCTCTCCCTTCTCCTGGGAAGGCCTCCAGACCCGGCCTGGCCGCCACGCCTGGGTCACTGCTTTGGCACTGATGTCCGAGAACACATTCCTGGAACTGGCCAGCACAGGCGGCTGGAGGGTTTTTCCCTCCTCCTCTCTCTCCCTCTCACCCTCCTGTCCGGGCCCCACACCCGCCCTTTTATTTTTCCTTCTTGCTGCAAAACCAAAACACCGTGTTCACGAGTTCAGGCGCTGTAGCCAAGTGGCAGGAGCTGGCAGAGCAATTGGGAAACAGGAGCTGCCTGGCCCAAGCAGGCCAGGGGATGAGGACACCTCTGGCCAGCCACAGAGAGGGCCCTGCTAGGGCTTGCTGAGCCCTGGTTAAGTACTGCAGGGCAAAAATGTCATCGCCTGGGGCCCCAGGGAACCGGAGTTCAAGGTGGCAGCTCCCAGAGAAATGGCCTGTGTCTCTCTGCCCCAGTAGCAGAGCCCGAGGTCACTAGCAGAGGATGGCGGCTGGAAGGTGACCAAAGGAGCAGAGAACCACAATTATTAATCATGAATCCATTGCCTGAGTGCATACACAGTCTTCAGAGCCACCTCAGGGTAGAATTATGTCCTTATACAGACAGGGAGGTGAAGGTGTGGGCAGGTGAAGGAATTTGGCACAAGGTCACGCAGCTAGCTTTTAGCCACGGAGCTTGATGGAATTAATCCAGCTTCGAGCTGACTTGGAGGCTTTAACTGATGGGCCACACTGGCTTTTCTTCCTGGGCTGCAGCTACACAGTATGCCAGGATCGCAGCACTTACAAAAAATAAAATAAAATAAAAACAACAAAAAAAGAGCGAGTGCTGTCTCCTATCTCTCCCCCACCCGCATGCAAACAGATCTGGGGGAAGAGCCATCTGCAACCTCAGCAGCGGAGGTGGTGGCAGCGGCGTGGCAGGCGGCGGTGGCAGGGGCAGTAACAGCCCAGCCCGAATCCCTGGCCTCTTTACTGGAGGCAGGAAATGAATAAAAGCTAAATGAGTTTGAAAATGCCAGGAGGCAGTGTTTATCCCCTTCCCCCACCCCCTCCCCCTGGCAAGGACCGCGTATAGTTACAGTTTAATCTTGGAAATGCCAGACAGCTGTTCCCCGTTGCTAAGAGACTGGCCCACATTATGCAGATGTCAGGGGCCTCAAATGTCTGCCGGAAATTACAGATCATGTTGGAAGAGCAGAGGGGCCTTCTCTTGACTGGGGAAGCGCAGTGGGAGACTCCTTGGGTGGATGGCAGAAATAAGGGGCCCACCCTTTCCGGGTCTCTTCCGAGGCTCTGAGGCTCCAGCCTGTCCCTCCTCCCAGCTCCCCGATGCCTTGGCTCCCACCCCAGGTTCCGGCCTCCATCCTTTGGCAACTGTGCCAATGGCCATGTCCACCCCCCACCTCCAGTGCTCCTTCTGGGACATCTTTCTTCAGTCCAGTGTCCCTGTCTGTCTTCCAGTCTTCCCAGCTGCTGCGATGCCACTGAGCTGGCTGGGTCCCAGCTGGGAGGAGGAGCAGACCCCACTCGAGGAGGGTAGGATTCCACTCCATAAGCTCTCCTCACCTGGAGCGGAAAATGGGACACACTCACCACACTCACACCCTCCCTGTCATCCCCCACCCCATGGAAAGCCAAAGGAGGGCTATCACCATGGCAACTGCAGGCTACACGAGCTGCTGCATCACTGGTCCCTGGGGAAGGGGAACTGCCATCTGGGCAGGGGGTTGGGGGAGGAGGAGGGGGAAGTCCTTTTCCAAACTGGAGCTCTAACATGAACCCTGATGGAAGGTGACGGGGGAATTCACCAGGGCTCTGGGCTGGGAGGGAAGCAGCTCAGGCTGGAGAGGGGCATGGGCAGGCTGCAGGGTGGTGCCCGGGGAGTCCATGGCAATGCATACGGTCTTCAGGATGACCCCCAGGTACCGTGGGGGTGGGGGAGGGTAGGCTGCGGCCCGGTGTGGAGTGGGTGCTGTGTGCCTACTGATTCCCTGAGAGCTCACAAGGTGCTTTGAGGACAGAAACTTTGTCACTACCTATGCATCCGGGTGGTATCTGCTCTCCCTGTTGCTAACTATGTGACCTTGGCCTTCTCCAGCTGGGGAGCCCAGCCATATAAAATGAAGTCAGGTGGACTTTACATGCATGGGAAGTGGCTTTAACGATAAGAATGGCGTGTGTGTGTGTGTGTGTGTGTGTGTGCATGTGTGTGTGTTTACCCATATATGAAAGTGCTTTGGAGAAAGGTTCTTGGAAGCCCCATGAAAACGGGGCCTTATTACCATCCATCTGGTCTTCCCAGAAGATGCTGATAAGGCTGCTGGCAGGGGAACACCATTTCAGAGCTTTCTTCCCAGGTACCTGGGGCCTTCTTCCCTGCAAAAAGACACCACCCTCAAACGCTGCCTTACTGACCTTGTGTCCTGACTCCTCGGGTCACCTCTCCCTCCCACCATTCCTACAGCAACTGAGATGCTGGATGGGGAAATTGAGGTACAGAGACTTCCAAGACTTGCCCAAGCCATCATAAGCCATTAGCTAATCCCATACTCTCCTGCCTCAGCCCTTGCCTTGGGTTCAAACCCCAGGAGGACCACGACCTCTGGCCCTGGGAGATGAGAGCTAGACACCAGCGTTCCTCCTCCTATTAGCTATGTTAGCTTGGGCAAATAACCAAACCTCCTTAACTCTCATTTATGCTTCTGGAAACTGGAATGCCATGACCTATTAGGGTTGCTGTGAAGGATTAAATGAGATACAACATAAAACTTGCTGAGCTCCTGCTAAGCTCTCAATACATTTGAGTTCTTTTATTAAGGAAAAGCTGGTTCCTGGGCACTAACTCCTTAGAAAGGTGACAGGCTTCAGCAGCTGGGGGACAAGGAGATTGTTCAGGCTGCATGCACACCCACTCCTCACTCCTCCAGCACAGCGACCAGTTTCTGCCTCTTTGGAAGGTTCCAGAAGGGTTATCCAGGACAGTGCAACTGGAAGAACTCAGGGCAGGTACCAGCCACAAAGTCCTGGGAGGTGGGGACGGGGCTTTTATCAGGGCCTCAGGGAAGACTCCCTCCCAGGAAAGGAGTGGACAGTAGAGGACGGTGGAGGATGGATGTCAGAGGGTGGTGGAGGATGAATGGCAGAGGGCGATGGAAGATGGACGGTGGAGGACAGTGGAGGATGAAGGGTGGAGGATGGTGGAGGATGGAGGGTGGAGGACGGTGGAGGATGGAGGGTGGAGGATGGTGGAGGATGGAGGGTGGAGGATGAAGGATGGAGGATGGAGGATGGAGGGTGGAAGGTGGAGGGTGGAGGATGGAGAGTGGAGGATGGTGGAGGGTGGAGGATGGAGAGTGGAGGATGGTGGAGGATGGAGGGTGGAGGATGGTAGAGGATGGACAGTGGAGGATGATGGAGGACAGCGGAGGATGGACAGTGGAGGATGGTACCCCCCACTCGATAGAGTAGAAACTGCTGAGCCAGAAAGGATTTGTCTGTGGGGCAGGAGAGCCCCAAGGCTGAGTCATGACTGGCTCCAGGTTCATTCAGCCCCTCAGAGCCCACTGAGGCCTCTGCGTGTGGCGGGAGAAAGCAGCGCTCAATCTCTGCCTTTGTTCTCCTCTCTCTCCCCAGGCCTCTCCCCACCCTCTCATCTCCCTTCCCCCAGCTCGCTCTCCTTCTCTCGCTCTCTTTCTCTCGCCCTCCTCCTCTTTCTCGCACTCTCCCACCAACGTCGGCTCCCTCCCCCTTCGTCCTTCCCTTGAAGCTGATTTCTTGCTTTCTCATCCTTTCTTCTGCCTCGGAGCTCACAACCACACAGGGCTGGCTTCCCTCCCCTCCTCCCTGTCCTCCCCTCTCCATCCGGCTGTCTTTCCCTCCCCTTCTCCATTTCCTCCCTCCTCCTTCTTCCCTCCTATTTCTCCTTTCTCCCCCAACCTTCTCACTCTCTCTCCCTCAATCTCTCTCTTCTTCCTTAAAGGAGACAGTTCAAGCCCCCCAAAAAGCAAAACCAGGTCAAGATCATCCATCAAGCCCTCACCAGGCCTGGTCTGGGAAGTTGGGGTCTAGAGACCAAGGCCAGAGCTAAGCAGAAAATCAGAGTGGGCTTGGGGAGAGTTTGTTGGAGTCCAGCCCACCTCGTCCAACCCACCTCAACCAGCACCTGGAACCCTTTCCCCACCTGGGTCACCTGCTTCTCACAAACACCCGAGCTTGGCTTCCAGCTCCCTGCTGCATAAGCTTCCAGTAAGCCAGGAGATGTCTGAGTTCCTGACCCTCCCTGAGCATTCGGCTTACCTCCTTATTCTTTGCCCTGGTGCAGGGAATCAAGGCAAAAAGAAGGCAAGAAAGAAATCAGAAGCAATGATGACCTGCTTTGAACTGGAAGGAAAATGGCTGGGGGAGGATTTGTACCATCTATGAGGTGCACATCATGGTAGAAAAAACACAGCTTTAAAACCAGACAGGCTGAGTTTGAACCTTGAACCTGCTTCTTACTAGCCAACAACCTTGAGCAAGACGCTCGCTGCGCCGCCGTGTCCACCTCTGTAAAATGGGGATAATGAAAACAGCACCGCCCTCCTGGGGCTGTTGTGAAGACGCAGTAAGAAAACGCATCGAAGTTCTTGGCACACAGCAGCTGCGCCTGAGCCCTAGTTCCTCCCTCAGAGAAAGGAAGGCTTCTTGCAGGAGATGGGGTTTGTTCTGAGTGTTGAAGGATGGATAATAATAGTAATCATACTTCTATTTTTGTTGACACCAGGCGCTATGCTAAGCACTTTGAATACATTGTTTCATTTAATCCCCCAGCAACTCTATGAGGCAGGTTTTTTTTTTTTCCCTGTCCCTGTTTCACGGAATAAGCTGGTGAAGTTCAGAAAGGCTAGGCAATTTACCCCAAGTCACACAGCCAAATGGAGGAGAAAATTCAGAACTCTTCTGCTATCGCTTGGACTGGGGGTGGGACTGGGAGTGGAGGACACAGCAAAAGTGACAGCAGGCAAGACCAAGAGCAGGGCCTAAACCAGGCGTGAGCCAGGACCAGCAAGGGACTGGGTGTGGGTCTCAGGGAAATTCTGAGGCCATGGCAAGCCCGTCTCTCCTTAGACTCCGCCTTCCTGCTTCCTGCGAGCCCTCGGACTCTGGCCGGCCTTGCTGTTAAACCTCGGTGGGGAGGGGGAGAAGGGGGTTCACGTGTTCATCTCTGCAGCAGTGGGACCCCCAGTGCTGCCCACCCCCTTCCCACACAGGTGCCCTGTAATCCAGATAATCCCTGCAGCTCCGTCCTGTCCCTTGTATGGCAAAAATGACCTCCTTGGTTTCTTGCCGCCTAGTGTTATGTCACAGGGATAATGGCTTCTTCTCTGGGGTGGGGGGTAGTCAGGACAGTGCTTAGGGATTCTTGCCTGAGATTACAAACGGGGTTGGGGAAAGTGGGTGGTTGGCGGTGGGACTGTGGGAGGCGAGTATCTTGTGGGAAAGAAGGTGGCCTGGCCCCCAAACAGTTTTTGGTGGAAAGAGATGAGCTGGGAGGACTTTAGCCAAACAGGTGTAGATGCCCCACCTGCCTATCACATCCCCCATCACCCCCCAACAAGCCATCTCACATTACACCGTGTATTGCTTTCAAATAGAACTCCACAGTTTCCATGGCAACTCACCCACGTGGTCGCTGCCTTAGAGGCTGGGGGATGGGGGGAGGGAAGGGCAGCTGACAAGAGGCACCAGCCTCCCAGAGGTGAGGGCAGAGTCAAGCTGGAGCCCGCCCTCTCTGCTGCCCACCCCCCGTTGCCCTGGCAGAGTCCCACCCGCCCAGCTCCCTGTGGCTGCCGCCCTCCCTTCACCCTCATCTCCAGGGCTCTCAGCTGAGGCTGCACAAAGCCCTAGGGAAAGAGTAGGTGGAGCTCCAGGACAAAGAGGCTGCCAGATCACTGCCCCCAGATGTGCCCTTGACCTGGGCCAGTCTGTGTCACTGTCGTGGGGCAGGGTCTCCTTGCAACTCTGGGCTCTTCTCGGAGAGGCCAGGGACGATCCTGCCTGCCCGGGAAGCACACCTTTGGGCGTGTCTAGTCTCCCCCACCTGTGAAATGGGGTCGGCACCCGGAACTGGGGTTGGGATTCTTGTTCTGGCTGATTGGGAGCTCTGTGACCTCGGGCATGGAACTTAACCTTTCTGAGGCTGTGTCTTCATCCTCACAAAAGGGATGGGGACATCTCCTCTCACGGGTGATGAGAGAAGCAAATGAGATGACATTCAGGAAAGTGCTTTATGAAAGGGAAAAAAAAGCATATAAAAGAGATAAAAGCAGAGACTCTTCTAGTGAAATCGGAGGACACTCGGATGGCGTCCACCCTTGGCCTCCCGTCTGGTCCAGGCCCAGCTCTACTGCATAGAACCCCGCAGTTCAGAAAGCCTTGTGATTAAAAAAAAGAAATGGGGGCGGGCACGGTGGCTCACGCCTGTAATCCCACCACTTTGAGAGGACAAGGCGGGTGGATCATAAGGTTAGGAGTTCGAAACCAGCCTGGCCAGCATGGTAGAACCCTGTCTCTACTAAAAATACAAAAATTAGCTGGGCATGGTGGTGCATGCCTACAGTCCCAATCTACTCAGGAGGCTGAGGGGAGAATCACTTGAACCTGGGAAGAGGAGGTTGTGGTGAGCCAAGATCACGCCACTGCACTCCCTCCAGCCTTTGCAACAGAGCGAGACTCCTTCAAAAAAAAAAAAAAAAAAGATTTGTTAAGGCCCCCACCTTCCTGTCCTGTGTATTTCCTGATCTTTCCTGACTTGACTCCTACCAAGAGCATCTCCTTATGGCCAAATATCTAGTCAAGGACCAGTGCGCCAGGAGCACTTCTTGTTGTCCCATGCCCACCAAACTGAGTTTGAGGCCTGCCCAACTGGTGGGGGCTCACCCAGCTTTGTCCCCAGGGAGGCAGCCAGAACATTGCAGGCTGAGCTTAGCAGAAGGGTGGGGCAAAGGGAGAGGAAGAAAGAGGCCAAGACATTTGCGGGACCGCCTGTCCCAGCTAAAGGGGCTTGCACCTGCCCGCCTGCCTCTCTCTCCCTCCTGGCTCCACACACCAGCTCATGAAAAGCACAGCCCCCAGGCCAGGCGCAGTGGTTCACGCCTGTAATCCCAGAGCTTTGGGAGGCCGAGGCGGGTGTATCACGAGGTCAGGAGATCGAGACCATCCTGGCCAACATGGTGAAACCCTGTCTCTAATAAAAATACAAAAATTAGCCAGGCATGGTGGCGGGTGTCTGAAGTCCCAGCTACTCGGGAGGCTGAGGCAGGAGAATCGCTTGAACCCGGGAGGCAGAGGTTGCAGTGAGCCGAGATCCCGCCACTGTACTTCAGCCTGGCGACAGAGTGAGAGACTCCGTCTCAAAAAAAAGAAAAAAGAAAAAAGAAAAGAAAAGCCCCACAGACCCAGCGTGACCCTGCCTTTCTCCCAGGGGCCTTGGGTTTCCCTGTGCTGATTCTTCCTGCCCTGGGACCTCCAGGGGCCGCCAGCCTCCCTCCCCAGCACCCACTCTCATCCATCAAGGGGGGGTGGTCTCTGAGGCCCCCTTTGGCTCTAAAACACTGACTCGGCAATTCTCTGCAGCAGCAGAAGCCGCAGCATCCTCTGCAAAGCCCAGCCCCTTCCTCTCTGTCACCTCACTCTGCAGTGCCCCCGAATCCCAGAGAGTGTGGCTTTCATTATTTTTTCTTTATTTTTATCAAAGGATATATATATATATTTTTTTTTTTTTTTTTTTTTTTTGGTCAAAAATTGTGTCTCCCCTGAGACAGTGCAGCCTCTGAGCAGGCTCCCCTTGTTTCCATGGTGACAGCAGCTGGCTCACATGTGTGGTTGCTTTGGAAACGAGTCTGGTTCTCCTCCCTCCTCTGCCTCTCCCTTCCTTCCTCAGCTGCCTGAGCACACCCTCCTCCTCCTTCACACTACTTGGGGTGCAAAGAAAGGGCCATGAGAGGTCCCAAGCCTCATGGGAACAAACCAGGTCCTGGCTCCTGTGACCTGGCCAGGTGACCAGACCCTTCTCTGGGCCTGACTTCTGCAGAGGCTCTCCTTCCACCCACCAGAGTGAGGCTTTGCTGACATGAGGCAGGGGCACTAACAGCCTTGAGCACTCTAGACAAGGACCCAAATGAATCTCGCTTCTGCCAAGGGCGGGGCTGCTTCTCCCCTCCCCAGGGGCACAGTCCCAGCATGCAGCCCACCCAGGCCTGGGCCCCTGGCACCCTCTCATGGTATACTAAGCCCTTTTCTGCCAAAGCATAGATGTGTAGAAGAAAAGGAAGGATTCTTGGGGAGGAAATCAATGGCAATAGACACAGAGAGAGAGGAGAAGGGACTTCCGTAGAGAGCCCTGTCTTGTTTGTCTGTAGATGCTATATAGATTTATGTACAATTTTTCCCACTGACATGTAGGCACCAGAAAGGGAGGAACCCTGCCTGTCTTGTCACGGAGGAGTCATCAGTGTCTGCCAGAGGAATGAATGGGTAGAGAGAAAAAAATAACACATTCCAAAATGTGAACAGTGATTGTTTTCTAGGTGGTGACTCTTGTTATAGCCTTTTTGCTTCTTTTCTTTCTGGGACGGAGTCTCCCTCTGTCGCCCAGGCTGGAGTGCAGTGGTGCGATCTCAGCTCACTGCAGCCTCAACCTCCTGGGTTCAGGTGACCCTCCCACCTCAGCCTCCCGAGTAGCTGGGACTACAGGCGTGTGCCACCACACCTGGCTAATTTTTGTATTTTTATTAGAGACAGAGTTTCACCATGTTGGCCAGGCTGGTCTGGAACTCCTGGCCTCAAGGGATCCACCCGCCTCCAACCCCTAAAGTGCTGGGATTACAGGTGTACGCCACCACACCTGGCCCTTGCTACTTTTCTTTCATGAGCATATATTAAATGTATAAAAAGAATAACAACATGTTTATTTATTTGATCTTAGAGAGAAAAATGAGGGGAACTTGGAAGAGGCCAGAATGGATGGAAGTATAGGCTCTTCTCCTTCCACGCTGGGGCAGGCATGTGACTATCCATTCCGATCTTCTGTCACTCAATGGGGCCCAGAAAGGTGCAGTGATTCTCCAGCTGTCACACAGGGAGTTGTAGTATTTGGAATCCGTCCAGTGAAAGAGGAGCCGGAGATCTGAAGTCGGAACCTGAGAGAAACGCTATCAACCCAGCACACTGCATATGCTGTTTATTGAGATGATAATGGTGTTGGTGGCCTAAGGACACATACCAGTAGCCCAGGCAGGCTTCAGCCTAATTCTCCCAACCGAAGGTAGATGCTGGTGTCCCCTTCCCCACTCCCCTCCTCCACCCTGTCTCCCAGGCCTCAGATTGAGCATTTGACTCACTCATGAGAAAATACAGCAGTCCCTAGAGAACTTGAAAGCTGCACTTGGCTGACAGAGCCAAACGGGAAAGTTCCAGCTCCTCTCCTGCTCTGCAGGGCAAGCAAAAGGCATTCTCAAGGTCAAAGAAAACATCATGCAGATTCTTGTCCTCAGCCAAGGGCACACTTCTCTGTTTTCTTCCCCAACCTGCAGCCAACACACAAGGAGTAGACCCAGCCTCCTGGGGAAACCTGAGTGGAGGAGAGCCAGGTCTGGCATGGCTGGGAGGAGTGTGCATCCTGCACTGTGGGAGCAAAGGGGCTCTCGAGATCCTCCTAATGATCCCACCATCCCCCTCTTTGATGGACAGACAGACAACAGGGGTGGCAAGGGCTTGCCCTGGCTCATCCCCAGCCAGCTCATCCTGCCAGCTATAGAGGCAGAGGGAAAAATGGAGAACAAAGAGGGGAGACACAGGAGGGAAGGAAAGGAGAAAGGAGGGAACCGTTCCTGACTCCCCCTGCCACCAGGGAGAGGGGCTTGCCTTGCTCCTCTGTGCTCCTCAGCCACAAGGCCACTGCGAATAGGCAGGGATGGGCAGAAGGTCAAGGATGGAGGGAGGCCAAAGATGGGACGGTGGGCATGGAATGGGGAGGGTTGGGTGATTTGTTGATGCCGTGTTGCATTCAGTGCTTGGTAACAAAAACAAAGCTGAAAACTTAAGTTAGTACTTTTACCATCACAAAACCTTCACAGCAAGAAAACCATCATATTCACAGGGTTATGATTTCCCTGGTACTACCTAGTCTGAGCCGTGGCCCTGTGGCAAGACTGTCTTTTTGCTGCCTCCTCACCAATGCAGAGCAGGCATAGCTCTAGGCAACCACCCCACTTGTCTTCCCTATGTTGGAGCATAACTAAGGGTCAGATGGCCTGACAATGAGCAAGGAGTTGTGTCCGCTCTAAAGTCTCAGAGGACTTTCTTCTACAACACCTCTGATTAAAGGCTCATCCAGTCTCTGCTTGAATACCTCCTATGACAGGGATCTCATCATCTTACAAGTATCTCATTAAAACCCAATCAGGGCCAGGCTCGGTGGCTCACACCTGTAATCCCAGCACTTTGGGAGGCCGAGGTGGGCGGATCATGAGGTCAGGAGATCCAGACCATCCTGGCTAACACGGTGAAACCCCGTCTCTACTAAAAATACAAAAAATTAGCCGAGTATGGTGGCGCATGCCTGTAATCCCAGCTACTGAGGAGGCTGAGGCAGGAGAATCGCTTGAACCCAGGAGGCGGAGGTTGCAGTGAGCTGAGATTGCGCCACTGCACTCCAGCCTGGGAGACAGAGCAAGACTCCGTCTCAAAAACAAAACAAAACAAAACAAAACAAAGCAATTGGGTTTGAATTTCCTTCTGCTAATATTTGTGCCACCCTTTTCATGAAAAAAAAAATGTGTGCCCCCCATTATCTTTATAGAGAAGATCAATGACAAATAGCATCTGGGTATATCTGTCATTCTTGAGTGCCAAATTAGCCCTTACTCCCCCAGGCAGGTCTTCCTGTTTCTAGAAAACTTTTCAAGCTCCCTACTTGCCCTTCCCCCCACCTTCAAAAAAATTGTTTTGCGGTTGGCCCTTTCTGCAAGCCTCAGCTCCGTGCAGGCTGCAGCGTGCCGGGTTCTATTCTTGCTGTCTCTGCTGCTCCTTTATTCCTGCCCTTGGTTCTGTGCCCTTCCTCCAGCTTTGAATGTGTCCTTCCCCAGTCTGAGCTCATCTGCCAGCCTGCGATGATCCACTTTGTCTCTCAGGCTCCTCCCTCTCTCCTTTGCGTCAAGACCTTTCGTGATTACACTGTCAGAAGCTCATTTTCAAGGGCCTCCCAGGTCGGCTCCACTCTTTCTTTCAAGCCTCACCTGTAGGATCTGCCTGCCCTTTCCCTCCGTGTTTTTTTTGTTTGTTTGTTTGTTTGTTTTTGTTGTTGTTGTTTTTGAGACAGAGTCTTGCTCTGTCACCCAGGCTGGAGTGCAATGGTGTGATCTCGGCTCACTGCAACCTCCACCTCCTGGGTTCAAGTGATTCTCCTGCCTCAGCCTCCCTAGTAGCTGGGATTACAGGTGCCCGCCACCATGCCGGGCTAATTTTTGTATTTTTATTAGAGACGGGTTTCGCCATGTTGGCCAGGCTGGTCTTGAACTCCTGACCTCACGTGATCCGCCTGCCTCAGCCGCCCAAACTGCTGGGATTACAGGCGTGAGCCACTGCGGCTGGCCCCTCCGTGTTTTGAATGTTACCTGACTCAGGTGGATGTGCTACCATTCTCCTTGCAGAGGCCTGGTTTCTTTGAAGATGGGGAGAGTGTATTGGTTTCCTGGGCTGCCATAACAAATGACCACAAACCGGGTGTCTTAAAACAACAGACATTTATTCTCTCACAGTTCTGGAAGCCAGAAGTCTGAAATCAAGGTGTTGGCAGAGCCCTCTCTCTCTCTGAAGGCTCTGGGGAAAAATCCTTCCTTGCCTCTCCTAGCTTCTGCTGTTTGCTGGCAATCTTGGGTGTTCCATCACCCCACCTCCGCCTCCATCTTCACAAAGCCTTCCCCATGTATTTGTGTCCAAGTTTCCTTCCGCTTATAAGGATACCAGTCTTGGCTGGGCACGGTGGCTCACGGCTATAATCCCAGCACTTTGGGAGGCCAAGGTGGAGGCAGATCACCTGAGGTCAGAAGTCTGAGACCAACCTGGGCAACATAGTGAAACCCCATTTCTACTAAAAATACAAAAAATGTAGGTGGGTATGGTGGCACGCACCTGTAGTCTCAGCTACTCAGGAGGCTGAGGTGGGAGGATCACTTAAAACTGGGAAGTGGAGGTTACAGTGAGCCAACATCATGCCACTACACTCCAGCCTGGACAGTGGAGTGAGACTGCATCTCAAAGAAACAAAAAAAAGGACACCAGTCTTTGGATTTAGGGCCCACCTTAGTCAAGTATGCCCTCATCTCTACTTGATTACATCTGCAAAGACCCTATTTCCAAATAAGGTCACATTCATGGGTTCCAACTGGACATGAATTTGGCGGGGGAGCTATTTGACCCAGGATTCTCCCTTACCCTCATCTTTGATTTTTCCCTCTGTCTTATCCCCACCACTCCCAAGAAGCTTTCAGGTCAGCCTGACTGCTCCTCCTTGACATCTGCCTGTCTGTCTCCTCTTCACCATGCTGACAGCCAGGGCCTTCCCATTTAGCACAGACTCTGGGGCTTTTCTTTCTTTCTTTCTTTCTTTGTCTGTCTGTCTGTCTGTCTTTCTTTCTTTCCCCTCTCTCTCTCTCTTTTTTTTTTTTTTTTTGCGACAGAGTTTCGCTCTTGTTGCCCAGGCTGGAGTGCAATGAGGTGTGAGCCACTGAGCCTGGCCAACTCTGGGGCTTTAATAAGGAAACTTGAACATGTTGCTTCATTTCTCTGGGCCTGAGTTTCCTGACTTGCAAAGTGGACATAAAAGTAGTACGGTGCCTACTTTACAGTACTATTGTGATGATCAAGTGAACTACTCTGTAAAGAGGCAGAGAACAATGCCTGGCATGGAAGCATGGCTGTTACTAGTATCTTGTCCGGCCTCCATCACGTCTAGCATGAAATACTGCAAAGGCTTCCTAACCAGCTGCCCTCTAGCTTCAGTCTTCCAGCACACCACACTGTCTTCAAAACACAAATCTTACCTTGTCACTCTCTGTCATCTGAATGTGCTCCACTGCATCCAAGTATTCACAGCAGAGCACACAGGGCATTTGGCAAGGCAAGTGCTTTATACCTGCCTAGACAGCCTTGTCTCACTTCTTGCTGTTCTGTGCATTTCGATACACACGCTTGTACTCACCGCAGCTCCAGCAAGCCCTCTGGCTCTCTCCTGCCTCTCCACCTTTGCATGGCTGCTCTGCTCCCTGGGTCTCCCCGACCCCTTCTCTACTTGGATGTCTGCCACTTCTCCCTCTGGATACATTCAGCTGGGTCCTACCATCTCCAGGTCACCAACCACTACTCCTGCACCTTCCAGCCTGTGCCAGGGGTCCATATTCTGGGGTCCTGCCCTGTCTCTGCCCTTCACAGCTGTGAACTACTCCAGGAACAGGACTGTATCCCTTCTCTGCATTTCAGACCAGCCCCTGGAACACAGTAGGTACAGGGAGGAGTGAAATGATACTTAGTCTTCTAGACCCTGCCGGGGCCCCTTTGATCTGCATCCCTCTACTTCCCATTCCACTTGACACCAGTCTACCTTTGCCAGGTCATTGGGACCCTCTGTCTCCCGGCAGCCCCCAGAGCCTCCTCTTCTCCACCTCCTCACTGTTCTTTAGCCTCCTCCTGCCTCTGGGCCTCTCCAAAGAGCTCCCTCTCCCCCTACCTGCAATCTCAGCTTGTTTCCTTTCGTCCCTAGCTTGGGCCACTCACCGGCTCTTCTTCTCTCTGGACTGCTATTTGCTTCTGTAACTGGGTGATTTGCATGCACTTGTCGTTTGGGGATGCATTTGTGGACACCGTCTTGGTGGAACAGTTGTGCCGAGCTGGGTGTCAGCAGGAGAGTGGCCCCCAGAGGGGTGGGAGGCAGCTGTGGAGAGCAGTAAACGCTCACCCCCAGGAGATTTTCATCAGCCTGAGAGCCTGTGCTCCCTCTCCACCCAAAAGCAACACCTCAGGTGCCCCCTTGGGATTTGCAAGGGAAGGGGATACCTCAGCCCCTGAGACTTGTTGCTGCCAGAGGACAAAGTGGCGTGAGGAGGAAGCCTCTCTCCTGGGGAGTCCTGCCATGGGAAAGACTCCTCTTGAGGCTGCTTGAAGCCCACCTGCAGGCAGAAAAAAGAAAGGCCTGGGATGCCTTGGCCTTCAGAGGGCTGGGGAGCAAAAGCAGAGAGGGTCTGCTCCAGGCAGCGCTGGGTGACAGAATTACCCGTAGCCCCAGGGCCCAGCTGGAGGGACTTTAATAGAATCTGTATTCCTCACCTGGCCCCTTTTCTCCTACGCGCTGTGGGGAGGCGAGCCCAGAACCAGCAAAGGCCTGTCTGTACCTACAGTGCCCATGTTAGCAGCAAGGCCCAGCCTCAAACTCCTGGCCCTATTTCCATCTGCCATCTGGTTGTCACCCAGGAATCTCAAACTCAGCATCTTCCCCACTATCCTCCTGCACCAAAGCTTCCAGGGCCTCTCTTCTGGATTGGAGGCACCCTATCTGCCTGGTACCCAGTAGCCACACCCACACCAGAAACTCGGGAGTCTCCTTTGATGCCTCTTTCTCTGTTGGTGGCCACCCACACAGAACGTCACCAATAGTGATTGTTTCGACCTTCTGAACAGCTCTCCTGCCTCCTACCCCTACCCAGGCCCTCTGGTCACCCAGCCTCTTGCACCTGCACTACTCTGCCAGTCCCCTAACTCGTCCCCTTAACTCACCCCGTGTCCCCTCCTTCCCAAATCACATGGTGACCAACAAGCTTTAGAAGCAGAGACATCCATCAAGTGGGAACAGTACTTAAAAAAAAAAAAAAAAAGTACGGGCCAGGCACAGTGGCTCGCACCTGTAATCCCAGCACTTTGGGAGGCTGAGGTGGGCGGATCATGAAGTCAGGAGTTCAAGACCAGCCTGGCCAACATGGTGAAACCCCATCTCTACTAAAAACAAATACAAAAATTAGCTGGGCGTGGTGGTGGGTGCTTGTAATCCCAGCTACTCGGGAGGCTGAGGCAGGGGAATCATTTGAATCCAGGAGGCGGAGGTTGCAGTGAGCTGAGATCATGCCATTGCACTCCAGTCTGGGCGACAGGGCGAAACCCCGTCTCAAAAAAAAAAAAGAGAGATAGAAAAATAAATGAGCTAGGCGTAGTGGTGGCACATGCCTGTACTCTCAGCTACTCGGGAGGCTGAGGCAGGAGAATCGCTTGAACCGGGGAAACAGACGTTGCAGTGAGCCAAGATCACACCACTGCACTCCAGCCTGGGCAACAGAGCCGAGACTACGTCAAAAAAAAAAGGAGGCAAATACATAATAAATGGTTTGTTGATCTCCCATGACAATACAATAAAACTATCTATGATTTGCTCACACTTAAATCCGATCTTGTCTCTCTCCTGTAAAATCCTTCCACGGATTCTCATGGAACTCAGGAAAAAAAGTGCAGCTGTATAACTTTCAGGCCTTTTGTAACCAGGCATTCTCTTGCCCACCGGGGACAAGGCAGTGAGGACAGGCGGTACCTTTTCCACTCATACCTACTCCAAATCCATCCTTATAGATGTACTGATTTACTTTCTTCTCCTTCTTCTTCTTCTTCTTCTTCTTTTTTTTTTTTTTTTTTTTTTTTTTTTTTTTGAGACGGAGTCTTGCTTTGTCACCCAGGCTGGAGTGCAGTGGCATGGTCTCGGCTCACTGCAACCTAAGCCTCCCAGGTTCAAGCAATTCTCCTGCCTCAGCCTCCTGAGTAGCTGGGACTACAGGCATGTGCCACCACGCCCAACTAATTTCTTTGTAATTTTTAGTAGAGATGGGTTTTCTCCATGTTGGCCAGGCTGGTCTCAAACTCCTGACCTCAGGTGATCCGCCTGCCTCAGCCTCCCAAAGTGTACCTTCTTTTGACTCTTAAATGATACTCCTTGACCCCTAAGTTTTCCCCAATTCTCAAACTTCCAAGCAGCTGGAAGTGCCCCACCCATCCTGATAAGACATCTCTGGAAGCTCCCTCAGTTTCCCGCCAAACCTCCCTTCTACTTTGCTTGCCAGTGCCAGCAACTCTGTGAAGATATGATGGGTGGCCATTGCCTCCAGTCGCCCTAACAGAAGGCCAGGCCTGGGGCAGGGCCCAACCCTTCTGCCCAGTCTGCAAGCCCTGGGCTGCTACTGATGCCACAGAGAGGCCAGAGCCAGGAGCTGGGCTCAGCACAAGAATGGCGAGTCCCTCAGCCCAGTGGCCCAAGGGCAGCACCAAGCCCTCGCCTCCACTCCAGCCCCTGTCTCCCCTCTGTTTTGCATTCCAGGCCCATTCCCCACTTTGACGAAACAGTAACCATTTTCTAGCTGCCCCATGCTCTTCTTTGCATTATTCATGGGCTCCGGTCTCTTTGCTACCAGCAGGCACAGGCTGCTCTCCTGCTGCATTAAGGGAGTAAAAAGGTACAGGCCCTGGTGAAACAGCACCCCCTCCCTTCCCTTCCCACTTGCCCTTTTCTTCGCTGCCCTTTTCCTAAGTCAGGAGGGTGAAGAAGAGGGTCTGTGATGGCCCTGCACACCCCTCGGGGCCACTGAGAGCCCATGGTTATTTGCTGCTTCTCATCTGGACCCAGTGCCTGCTCCATGGGCCTGGCTCTGGAGAGGTTTCGGGAGAGCCAGCAGATGAGCTTGGGAACAGCCCTTCCTGCAGAGGAGATTCAGGTTTCTCCCGCCCAGCTCTGCCAGCCCCCAGCCCACAGCCCTGAGCTTGCCTCACTCATCTCTTAAGTGAAAAAAGGTCACATGGGGACCACTAGATCTGAGCAGACCAGAAGGACATGTCCTCTTGGTCCTGTTCCTGCTCCCTTGGCCTTGCAGTCTTTTTTTTTTTTTTTTGAGATGGAGTTTCGCTCTTGTTGCCCAGGCTGGAGAGCAGTGGTGTGATCTCGGCTCACCGCAACCTCCGCCTCCCAGGTTCAAGTGATTCTCCTGCCTCAGCCTCCCGAGTAGCTGGGATTACAAGCACCTGCCACCATGCCTGGCTAATTTTGTATTTTTAGTAGAGACAGGGTTTCTCCGTGTTGGCCAGGCTGGTCTCAAACTCCCGACCTCAGGTGATCTGCCCACCTCAGCCTCCCAAAGTGTTGGGATTACAGGTGTGAGCCACTGCGCCCAGCCCAGTCTTGCTGTCTTCTTTACTCAACCAGGGCAGGTGACAGGGACCTTAGACAGCTCACGATGCTGGGCTTTCTTGCCTCCTTCCCTAGTCTTCCACCTGCAATCCGGCAACTTCTCCCTTTGCCAGGAAAGGATGCTGAACGGGAACATTCACCATTGGTTGGACACAAAGCTGGCTTTCCTTTCATCACCTAAGATGCCATCAGCGGCCTGCTGTCTGGCCTAGTCTTCCCCAACCCATCCCCAGGCTGGCCCTTCAACCCCAGCTAAGTTCTGAGGGCCCCAGGTTGGGTCATAGCCTCCATCCCTAGAGGATGGAAGCAGGCTCGAGGCCACCTCCTCTGAGGCTCCCCAGCTGCCTGCTTCAGTGACCCCGCATGGCTTCCCTGTGGGATGCAGACCAAAGGTTCTGGATGGGGCCCAACGGTGCTGGGTAGGCTGTCAGGATTACTGAGCTGTAGTGCTCTGTTGTGCAGTCACTTACTCATCATATTTATTCTTTTTTTTTTTTCTTCTGAGGCAGAGTCTGGCTCTTTCGCCCAGACTGTAGTGCAACAGCACAATCTCGGCTCACTGCAACCTCCCTCCCGGGTTCCAGTGATTCTTGTACCTCAGCCTCCTGAATAGCAGGGATTACAGGTATGTGCCACCACGCCCAGCTAATTTTTGTATTTTTAGTAGAGATGGGGTTTTGCCATGTTGGCCAGGATGGTCCCAAACTCCTGACTTCAAGTGATCCACCAGCCTTGTCCTCTTAAAGTGCTGGGATTACAGGCGTGAGCCACCGTGCCCAGCCCACATCTATTCTTTCAACAGCTCTTCGAGGCAGGGGATATTTATCCCCTCTTCACAGATAAAGAAACAAAAGCTCAGAGAGGTTAGCACGAGCAAGGTCACACAGCCAGCAAACGGCAGGGCTCAGATTCTCTAACAACTCCGGCACAAGGGGTCTCTTCCATCAGCGCTCCCCACCTGACCCCCAGTCCTCCCTGCCACCTTTCCCAGGGCCGGTGCAGGGGGCTGAGGGTGCCACGCCCAGCTGGCTGGAGATGCAGCAGCTCTGCCTGCCCCTGAAGGACCCAACTGCGAATCAGCAGCCTGGTATCCAGGCAACCAGTCTCCCTGGCTTCAGATAAGCAGAAACAGCTGGGAGCTGCTGAGGCTGGAACACCATCAGGGAAGGGAGGAGGAGCCCACCAGCCAGTCAGCGTGTTATTTTAACACGTTGTTATTCTTACCCTCTCAGACCTTGGCTTGACTGGGCCCTTTCCCCCAAGCTTATCCTTGCCACTGCCACAGGGGAGGGGTCTCCAGGGGTTCCACCTAGCCCTGAGCCTGGCACAATTGAGGTGACGTAAGGGGAGAAATGTTGGCAGTCCCTCTTTCCGTGAGCAAGGGAGAAAAGGAAAGTTGGCCAAAGGCTGCCAAGATTAAGAGGCTCTGGGGTGACTTCATAAGCAGAAGTAGTTGAGTTTCACCTTTTGGAGCCTCCAGGCCTCAATGAGAGGTTTTCCACCCCCCTATACCAGGCTAGCTGAGTACAGGTTCAGCTGGATAACCCCATCCAACACCCATGATGGCAGCAGCAACTGGGCTGGGGGTGAAGGAAGCCATGGGGACACGTGGACTGTCAGACAAGCGAGGTCTGGCTCAGCCCCAACTCTGCTGACGACAAGTTTGGCCACGCCTCTCTGAGCCTCAGTTTCCTCATCCATAAAATGGAGACAATCATGCATACCCTGCTGGCTGGAGGTGGAAAGTAAGTGAGGAAGGCCTGTGAAATGCCGGGCATCATGTCTGACACAGTGGGTACTAACATGGTTCTCCTCCCCTCCTCATGTTGGGGCCTGCCCTGCCTGGCCTGGCCACCTCTCTCACACAGGATTCTGAACTCTCCAGGGCTATTTCTGTCTCCTGTTCTAAAGGTCAGTGACTTTCCTGGGATATGGCAGCTGCTGCCTCTTTTCCACCTCTAAGTGGCATTAATCCCATGCCAGGGGGACAGTGGTTGCCCCAGATGGCTTTCCCCATCCCCTGCCTTTATCCAGAACTGGCCCAGGCATGTCCACCCTCTCTTCTACACATAGACCCCCAAGGCTACCGCCAGGCCTGGAGCTTGGCCATTTTTGACTGACTCATGACCAGAATATTCCACCGTTCCTTCAGCACTGGGCCCACCAAGGCTCTTCATTGACTGCCTTGGCCTCTCTCCCTAGCGCCAGCTCCAGGTGATGCCCGGCCCTCCCTAAGGGCTGATGGACTTTTCCCACAAGGAGGCTTGGAGAACAGGACAGGAAGAGAAAGCGTGCCCACCCTGCTGGGGAGCCTCAGAGGCACACTCCCCTCCTCTCCTCCAGGGACTGGCAGGAGGGGATTACCTTGCCTCAAAGTGTCCCTTATCCCAGAATTACTGCCCACTTTCACCCCTGTGCTGGGGGGAGCAGGGAGAGCTGCCAGTGAGTGACATTCACCTGTAACAAGAGCCCAGAGCAGGCTGGGTGCGGTGGCTCACGCCTGTAATCCCAACACTTTGGGAGGCCGAGGCGGGCAGATCACCTGAGGTCGGGAGTTTGAGACCAACCTGACCAACATGGAGAAACCCCGTCTCTACTATAAATACAAAAAATTAGCAGGGCGTGGTGGCACATGCCTGTAATCCCAGCACTCGGGAGGCTGAGGTAGGAGAATCGCTTGAACCCAGGAGGCGGAGGTTTCAGCGAGCTGAGATCACACCATTGCACTCCAGCCTGGGCAACAAGAGGAAAAACTGTCTCAAAAAATAAAAATAAAAAAATTTAAAAAAAGAAAAAAAAAAAAGAAAAACACCAAGAGCCCAGAGCAGAGCACTCTGCAGCCTGACAGCAACTAAAGTAGGCTGGGGAGGGGTGTGGCCTTCAGGAGGCTCAGGCCCCATCAGTACCCAAAAGCACACCCGCCTTGGGATTGGCCCATCCTGCCAGCACTGGCGACATTGATGGAGTGGTTTCCACGTGTAAATGGTGCCATCTATTCACCAGCTCATGCCCCAGCAGATCCCTCATAGAGAGGGAACTGTTGTCATTCCCATTTTACAGAGGATGCAACTGAAGCTCAGGGAGTGCTGAGAAAACCTCCAGCATTCATACCAATTCTTTTCTAACTGCCCCTGTTCATTCTGTTCATTTTCTCTTTTTTTCTTTCTTTTCTTTTCTTCTTTTTTTTTTTTTTTTTGAGACAGGGTCTCACTGTGTTGCCCAGGCTGGAGTGCAGTGGCACAGTCACAGCTCACTGCAGCCTCGACCTCCCGGGTTTAAGCAATCCTCCCACCTCAGCCTCCCAGGGCACGTGCTAACATGCCCAACTAATTTTTTTAATTTTTGGTAGAGATGAGGTGTCACTATGTTGCCCAGGCTGATCTCGAACTCCTGGGATCAAGTGATCCACCCGCCTCGGCCTTCCAAAGTGCTGGGATTATAGACGTGAGCCACCACACCTGGCCCTTCTTTTATTTTCACACAGGAACTCCTTCCAGGGACCCCCAGTGTGTCCTGATGCACAGCTACGGGTTCCAAGGCAAACCCTTCCTGACCACCCCAACCGTCCCCTGAGCTCCCTGAAGGAAAAGTGAGAGGATGGGCAGCCAAGGCCTGGGCTGGGGACAATGGAGGTCTCATCTGGGTGGTTGAGAAGAAGGAAGGATAACTTGGTGACAGCTGAGTGTTCTCTGAGCCAGGTTTTTTCCATTTTCCAGCCAAAATGGAGAAAGGAGGAAAAGGCAGCCTCTGGGCTGGGGTGGGGAGAAGGAGAGCAGCTTCCTCCTCTTCCTCAGCCCAGCCCCAGCCAGTGTGTCCCATTCTTCCTGGCACCCTCAATCCCCTCTGCCTCCCCTCATGTGGAATTTCTGGGAAAGAACCAAGACTCCAAAGCAAGATAAATAGAAGTGAAGGGGGCTTGGGAGGAGCATTCCAGGGCTAAAAATAACAGGGTCAGCTGGCTGGAAGAGCAAATGGCCCCTAGCCCCTCCCCATCTCCCCCAGGGCCGGCTCCCATCCAGCCCCCCTCCTCTCTCAACTGGGCTCCCAACCTGGGAAGTCTGGAATACCAGTCTCCTATCACCATGCCCATGATCCCCTTTCCAGATCCCTCCCCAGCTGCGGGGCCACAGTCAGGGGAGGTAGGGAGCCCACCCCACCTAGGACCTCCCCTTCCACAGCACCCACTGGAAAGCGTGGGCAGCTACAGTGGGCCCACAGCCTGGCAGCTACGCTTCTCGCCTGCCTTCTCTATCATTTATTTATGTTAACAAAATACAAGTTTGGGCCGCGTGCAGTGGCTCATGCCTGCAATCCCAACACTTTGGGAAGCCAAGACAGGACTGCTTGAGCCCAGGAGTTTGAGACCAGCCTAGGCAACATAGCAAGACCCTGGCTCTACAAAAAATAAAAATAGAAATGATGAGTTAGCAATGTGTGGTGGCGCACCCCTGTGGTCCCAGCTACTTGGGAAGCTGAGGTGAGAGGATCACCTGGGCCCAGGAGATCGAGGCTGCAGTGAGCTATGGTTGCACCACTGCACTCCAGCCTGGGTGACAAAGTGAGACCCCTGTCTCTAAAAAACAAACAAAAAAACAGCCGGGCCTGGTGGCTCACGCCTGTAATTCCAGCACTTTGGGAGGCTGAGGCGGGCAGATCACTTGAGGTCAGGAGTTCAAGACCAGCCTGGCCAACATGGTGAAACCCCATCTTTACTAAACACACACACACACACACACACACACACACACACACACACACACACACACACACACACAATTAGCCGGGCGTGGTGGCGGGCGCCTGTAATCCCAGCTACTCTAGAGGCTGAGGTGGGAGAATTGCTTGAACCCAGGAGGCAGAGGTTGCGGTGAGCCACTGCACTCCAGCCTGGGTGACAGAGTAAGACTCTGTCTCAATTAAAAAAAAAAAAAAGCAAAAAGCAATACAGGCTTGTAATCTTGTCAGCAAAGGCAGGGATATTTCAGAACCAGAAGGATCTCGTTCTCCCTACAAGAGCATCCCCACCACTGGTAAGCAATTCCACTTCTACAGACGGTAACAGAGGGGAGAGTATGGAGAAAAAAGAAAATTCTAGGAGAAAACTCATCCAGCACCTACGGTGTGCCAGAACTGTGCTAGGCTTGTCTTGTCCATCGTTTCACTCCATTCTCACAGAACGTAGATATTGTTCTATCCCCATTTTCCAGATATGAAAACTTAGACTCAGAAATGCAAAGAAAGAACCAAAATCATCAGAGGTAGCCTAGATAGGAGTGGTGCTGCCATGCCCCAGGGCTACCTCCCAAAGGGGCCAGCTTCTTCCCACGATCGATCGGCGCTGGATGCCATCTCTCTTCCCTCCAGCTGCTCCCAGGGATCCATGATAGCAGCTGAGACCAGCCCTGGAGCAAAGCAATCAGGCCTGCCAGAGTTCAGGGTCTTCTGGAAGTGTTAGCCCCTCCCCTCACCCGCAGCTGGGACCAAGTGGCTTGTGTCACCGCCTATGCAAGGCCCCTTTCCCCAAGGACACCAGAGGTGGGGTCCTTCCTATCTAGTGGCAGCTGCTGCTGTTCTGGGGAGTGCAGCTGGGATGAGGGGAGGGGGGTGTCCAGAAGGCTTGACCAGGAAAGTCCCCGTCTCACACCCATGACACCCTTGATTGTCCCTGCAGGAGTCTGACCTGTGGGCGGAGGAGTTTCAGGGAACCAAGCCTGGCTTCGGTAGTCCCACAGACATGAGGACACCCTTTCCTGAAAAGCCAGGAGGCCTTGGACAGGCCTGCACAGCATCACCCCGGCCCCCACTTCTCCACCTACGCTGGGGTTTGTTCTTCTCTTGGCCATGGGCGAGCGGGTGGGTGGGAGGAAACACTGAGATTGTTAAACCCAGAACAAGCAGGGCAGGCTTAGATGTGACTTAGCTGCTGTCCTTAGCCAGCAGAGGGGTTTTAGTGCAGGGGATAGGAGGCAGCTGTTATCCTCCTGAGATGCAGGGAAGCAAGATGAAAAGGGTGTTCACAACCACAGGAATTGAGTCTCCTGGTTGACTGGCTGCCAGGTTGGAGACACCCCAGCATCCTGTCCACCTCTGCTTGAGTACACCTACCGATGGGAGGCTCATCCCATGAGAAAGCTCTCATTACTCAAGCTCTTCCTGTTGGTGCTGAGCTGCAGTCTCTACCCCCATGCCTCTCACTGTCTGATTCTGCCCTCTGGGGCCACAAAGCTGCTCCCCTTTCTGCGGGAAGGCCTTTCAAAGGTAAAGTGCTCTCTCAGTCAACCAGCTTTCAAATGTTAGAATTGGGGACAGTCACAGAAAGAATGAGATGATTCAAAACCATGCTGAATGGTTGATGATCACTGCTGCCCAAGCTCTGCTCCTGTGACACTGTGCCTCAAAGACACCTACGGTTAGGGCGCGATTCACACGGGGCTCTTTATTTAGCAGGAGTGGAAGCTTTTATTTCCCAATCTATAAGACTCTCAGGAAAGTTCTCACAGGCCCAACAAACATCGGGTCTTCTTTGACAGCAGCTGGACATTGCATTGTTTACCAGGTTTGCTGGGTTTCTCCAGCCAGAAACCCAGAAGTCCTGGAGACTCATCCTCTTCCCTCCCCAGCTCCAACCCACCCCCACCTCCATGCAGGTCTCGTTTCTACCCACTTTTCTCCACCCTTATGGCCACCATCCTAACCTGTCTAAACCTCCCCTCCCTCCCACCTTCCAACTGCTCTGTACTTCCAGAGATGTATCCTGCTTCCCACCCCATCCCCAATCCACCCAATACTGGCTCCTAGAAGCCAGGGCATGGTCCGATTATGTAATTCTCCTAGGCAACCCTTACAATGATTGTCCAGTGCACTTTGAGTAAAACCCAAACTCCTCGCCAGGGGCTATATGGGTCTTCCACGCTGGACTCTGCCCGTTTTCCTGACCTCTGGCCTTCCAGGAACATCCCAAGCTGTTTCCTGCCACAGGGCCTTTGCACTTTCTGGCCCCACTCCCTGGAACATCATCCCATTAGCTCTTCCCATGTTTGGTTCCTTCTCAACCTTCAGGGCTCAGCTAGAATGTCACCTTCTCAGAAAGACCTCCCCTGGCTGCCCTATCTCAATTAGATGGCCTTTTTAACTCTCTGTTACAGGCCTTTTTTCATATGTATGTATCACTTACAACATATTGTCTGTCTACCACACTAAAACGGTAGCTGCAGGAGAACAGGGACCCTGGCTGTCTTGCCCACTGCTGTCTTTGCTGCATCCCACAGAGGGTCTGGCACTTATAGGGACACAAGTAATATCTGTGGGTGATAAATAACAGCTTTGCCCTTGTCTAGTCTACAGGGGTATTTGTTTTTTGTTATTCATTTTTTAATTTTTATTTTTTTGAGACAGAGTCTCACTCAGTCACCCAGGCTGGAGTACAATGGCTTGATCTCAGCTTACTGCGACTTCCACCTCCAGGGTTCAAGCAATTCTTGTGCTTCAGCCTCCAGAGTAGCTGGAATTACAGGTGCACGCCACCACACCCAGCCAATTTTTGTATTTTTAATAGAGACAGGAGTTTCACCATGTTGTCCAGGCTGGTCTTGAACTCTTGACATCAAGTGATCTGCCCACCTGGGCCTCCCAAAGTACTGGGATTACAGGTGTGAGCCACTGCACCCGGCCCCTACAGGGGTATTTGGAATCCAGTCCTCCTTGGAAACAGAAAGATGGACATGAAAACTGCCTAAGGGCCTCCTGAACCCAATCAGAGGAGGAGTGCATGTAAGAAAAACTGGCCACTTCTCCTAGTTTGCCCATTCACTCATTCACTTGTTAATTCCTCTATCAAAAACTGAGCCTTTTGGGCTGGGCACGGTGGTTCACGCCTGTAATTCCAGCACTTTGGGAGGCCGAGGCAGGTGGATCACTTGAGGTCAGGAGTTTGAGACCAGCCTGACCAACATGGTGAAACCCCATCTCTACTAAAAATACAAAAATTAGTTGGGTGTGGTGGCACGCTCCTGTAGTCCCAGCCACTCGAGAGGCTGAGCCAGGAGAAATTGTTTGAACCTGGGAGGCAGAGATTGTAATGAGCCAAGATCGCACCACTGCACTCCAGCCTGGGTGACAGAGCTAGACTCCATCTCAAAAACAAAACAAAACAAAAAACACAAAACTGAGTCCTCCTGATTGCCAGAAACTTTTCTAGGGACTAAAACCTTAAAGGTGAGCGATAAACATTTCATCATAAACAAGTAAACAACAAAACAATTACAGATGGTGGTAAGTAAGGGTCCTGCAAACACTAAAACTGGTCTCGGGAGAGGAGTTTGGGTGAGGAAGTCTGTTACAAAGGGCATCAGGTAAAGTCTGAGGATTACGGACACAGGGCAGGCCTGGATGTGCACAGCCCGCCCCCTCGCCCCTGCCCCCAGCCCCCATTTCATCACCAAGTAGCAGGCATGTTATAGGTTGGAAGATAAGAGTAGATGGCAGGATTCCGATAAAGTGTACATTCGGCCAGCTAGTCCCCCATAAAAATGACACAGGTAGTGGTGTCCCTGTAAAGCTCTGTGTCCACTGAGCCGTGCTGTCACTTCACAGCCTTGCAGGAAAGCTGCAGAGATTTCTTCTGTAGAGCACGAGGTCAACACTAACTGGTTCTCTGGGTTAAATACCTATCTGCTGTATCTGCTTACTTAGAACAAGGGGCACCTGCAACCCACACACTCACAGGTAGACAGATGTGCTTTATGGTGCAGGAGAAAGGACTCCACCCTCACATGGCTTGTGAAAGAAACTCTACAGTGAGTAAAAGCCAAATAGAACTGCAATCAATTTGTGAAAGCCACCTGGGTGCAGCGGCTCATGCCTGTAATCCCAGCACTTTGGGAGGCCGAGGCAGGTGGATCACCTGAGGTCGGGAGTTCGAGACCAGCCTAGCCAATATAGTGAAACCCCGTCTCTACTAAAAATATAAAAATTAGCTGGGTGTGGTGGTGGGTGCCTGTAATTCCAGCTACTCGGGAGGCTGAGGCAGGAGGATCGCTTGAACCCAAGAGGCAGAGGTTGCAGTGAGCCAAGATCACGCCACTGCACTCCAGCCTGGGCGACAGAGCAAGACTCCATCTCAAAAACAAACAAAAAAATTGTGAAAGCCAATTTGAATGCTAAGACGACCAAAAAACCAAAATGACACATTTAAGGGACAAAGTTCAATCAGAGTATGTGTCAGCATGTGAGAGGTTGGTGTGACTTTACCTCGTTCCCAGCAGTCTTGGGTGGTGCCTCTAGGGAGATGGTATATAAATATCTAGAGAGAGTGCATTTCTATCTCTTGTTGGTTTCACACACTTTCTTTCTTTTTAAAAAAATATTTTCTTTTGGGCCGGGCGTGGTGGCTCACGCCTGTAATCCCAGCACTTTGGGAGGCCGAGGTGGGCAGATCACGAGGTCAGGAGATCGAGACCATCCTGGCTAACACAGTGAAACCCTGTCTCTACTAAAAATACATAAAATTAGCTGGGCATGGTGGTGGGCGCCTGTAGTCCCAGCTACTCGGGAGGCTGAGACAGGAGAATGGTGTGAACCCGGGAGGCGGAGCTTGCAGTGAGCTGAGGTCGCGCCACTGCACTCCAGCCTGGGCAAAAGAGCGAGACTCCATCTCAAAAAATATATATATTTTTTATTTTAAGTTCTGGGATACATGTGCAGGACATGCAGGTTTGTTACATAGGTAAACGTGTGCCATGGTGGTTTGCTGCCCCTATCAATCCATCACCTAGGTATTAAGCCCCGCATGCATTAGCTCTTTATCCTGATGCTCTCCCTCCCCACACCCACCCTGTTTCAGACACTTTTTTTTTTTGGAATCGGGGTCTTCCTTGTTGCCCAGGCTGGAGTGCAGAGGCACAATCATGACTCACTGCAGCCTTGAACTCCTGGGCTCAAGGGATCCTGCCACCTCAGCCTCCCAAAGTGTTGAGATTACAGGTATGAGCCACCGCACCCAGCGCTGTTTCACACACTTTTTTTTTTTTTTTTTGAGACGGAGTTTTGCTCTTGTTGCCCAGGCTGGAGTGCAATGGCATGACCTCAGCTCACTGCGAATTCTGCCTCCTGGGTTCAAGCGATTCTCCTGCCTCAGCCTCCAGAGTAGCTGGGATTACAGGCAGGCTCCACCACACCCAGCTAATTTTGTATTTTTAATAGACATGGGGTTTCTCCATGTTGGTCAGGCTGCTCTTGAACTCCTGACCTCAGGTGATCCGCCCGCCTCGGCCTCCCAAAGTGCTGGGATTACAGGCGTGAGCCACCACGCCCGGCCTCACACACTTTTTTATCTCTCCTCATTTCACGTATTCATTCACCAAACCTGGGCATCCCCACCCTGATCCAAGTCCTTGCAGTCTCTGGGGTGGGGGAGAATTGGGAGGAGTGGAACAGAAAAGAATGGGACAAGGGGGTCCTCTCTTCAGACAGTTCACCGACCGGCCCCAACCCCTATTTTCTGTCTGGGGAACACAGGCTCCACCTGCCTGCTGCCCAAGCCAAAGCCCTGGCATCCCTTCTTCCAACCAAGCACCAGGCCTGGTCATGTGTACCTCTTAAATCACTCTGATCTGAAATCACTCACCTCCTACCGTTGCCCTAGGTCAAGCCACAGAAGCCTGGCCTAGCCTCTCGGGGTACACATCCCACCCATCCTCCAGGAGTCCTCCGTAGGCACAGCCATCTTTAACAAACACACACTGGCCTTGCCATGTCCCACTGAAAAAGCCCGTAGGCCTTGGAGAGCCTGTCGTGCCCCTGCAAGGCAGCCCCTCTTTCCACACTGGACCAGGTGAAGTATGTGCTTCTAGGAGGCACCAACGGGTACTTCCCAGGTGCTCGTCTCCCCACGCAGGGGGCAGCATGGTGTCTAGAACACGGTGGCACTGGCTGGTGACACCTGGGCCAAGGCAACCCGTGGGATTTTTCTTCCCTACCGCGCTGAGTAACCATGTGGTGGCAGGCGAGGCCCCGCCGGGACTAAAGAGCCGGCAAGCGCGGGGCCCAGGCAGCAGCTGGTGTCGCCAAGGAAACCGCTCGCAGCGCCTCCCGGGGCCGGCCTTTTCACTTGGCCTTTTTGGCAGGCTTCCTCAGCCACCCTGAAACCCATTCATCCGGGTGCGCCGGGCCCTCGCCCCTGCCCCCACCCTGCCCTTCTGCCTCACTGGCCAGCTCTTCCCCCTCCCCCTCCCCCTCCCCTTCCTCTCCTCTCCTCTCTTCCCCGCTGCCCTCCCTGCTGCAGCCTTTGCCAAAGCTCAGGGAGGGGAAAGCTGGGCCAAGGAAGGACTCCGATTTTCAATTCTAAGCTGATTTCCCCTCTGCAGGCAGCAAGCCCTTTCATGCATTTTTTCCCTATTATCATAAACGCAGGAACTTGCATTAGGATGAATGAGCAGAAACTCCTGTCTTTGTCAAAGCCTTGGCAGAATGCCAGGCATAGAATGACCTAAAACACTCAGAGCTAAATGGAGCTGGAAAGGGGGTGGAGATCCCATGTCGGGTGAGAAATGGGAAGGGGGGAGTGTGGCCCTTGGCCTCTAATTATCATAATAAAGTGTTTGCCCTGTGCTCAGGCACTATGCTAAGCCCTTTGCACAGATTCTCGTTTAATCCGCACAAAATTCCTACGTCCTATTCATCCCCCCATTTTCATAGATGCCAAAACTGAAAATCAGAGGTGTCAAGGAACAGGCCCAACATCACACAGTAAATGAGTGATGGAGTGGGATTTGAACCTTTCAGACTCTGGAGCCTCAACTGATGTCAAGGTCACCTTCCCGAGCTGGTTCAGAGCTCCACAGCCAGTTCTCACCGCCTAGGCCCTCCAAATCCTTTCCCTACCCTCACCTCCCCTCACCCACAGCCTCCCTTCAACGGTGCTCCTGTAATTTCCATTTGTCAGTGTAATTTTGCAAAGCAGGCTTTTCCAAAAATCAGATATGGATAGGAGTCCCCGGGGCAGAGGGAAAGCGGGGCTCCCCAAGACCCAGCCAAGGCATCCTGTTTGTGCTGCCTGGTGGGCAGAGACCTTGATTTTAAACTTGCTTGTCACATGTCCAGCTACAGCACAGGCACTCCGGCACCGAGCCAGTGCTCAGCAATGTTGATCAGGTGCTGCCCTGAATCCACACTTCCTCTCTAGATCCATAGTCCACCCTCCTCCACCTTTTCCTTACCCTGACCTCTCAGGACTGTGCCACAGAGCGTTCTTACCCCTTGGCTTCGGGTTAGATTCAGCCAATGGAATAAGGTGGCAGGTGACTGGAGGGCAGAAGGATAAAGAGGTCGGGGTATTTACCCCACACTCACTTCCTTGCTGGGCATGGGGTGCCAGTGGCTGCTTTCCTCTGCCCATGCCTGCAGCTCTTGTCCTCTGGTCCTCTCCTGCAGCTTAGCTCAGCCACAGCTCTGGAGGGTTCCCTGGCCTCGCCCCCTCAGCCCCACCCACTACTCTGCTGTTAGCCCTGGGATGCATCTCCCTTCCTTATTGGTCTCCTTACTTCGTCTACAACTTTAGAAATAGTTCTTTACAGCCGGGCACAGTGGCTCACACCTGTAATCCCAGCACTTTGGGTGGCCGAGGTGGGAGGATCACCTGAGGTCAGGGGTTCAAGACCAGCCTGGCCAACATGGTAAAACCCCATCTCCATTAAAAAATACAAAAAAAATTAGCCGAACATGGTGGCGCGTGTCTGTGGTCCCAGCTGCTTGGGAGACTGAGGCAGGAGAATTGCTTGAACCAGGAGGCAGAGGTTACAGTGAGCCGAGATCACACCACTGCACTAATGAGACTATATCTCAAACAAACAAACAAAAATATATATATAGTTTTTTATATTCTTTTATTTTATTTTATTTTATTTTATTTTATTTTATTTTTCCATGAGACAGTCTTCCCTCTGTCCCCCAGGCTGGAGTGCACTGATATGATCTCAGCTCACTGTAACCTCCGCCTGCTGGGTTGAAGTGATTCTCCTGCTCCAGCCTCCCAAGTAGCTTGCATTACAGGTGCCCACCACCACGCCTGGCTAGTTTTTGTACTTCTTAGTGGAGACAGGGTTTCACCATGTTGGCCAGGCTGGTTTTGAACTCCTGGCCTCAAATGATCTGCCTGCCTCAGCTTCCCAAAGTGCTGGGATTACAGGCATGAGCCACCGCACCCGGCCAGTTCTTTCTGTTCTTTTTTTTTTTTTTTTTTTTTGAGACGGAGTCTCACTCTGTCGCCCAGGCTGGAGTGCAGTGGCGCAATTTGGCTCACTGCAACCTCTGCCTCCCGGGTTCAAGCAATTCTCCTGCCTCAGCCTCCCAAGTAGCTGGGACTACAGGCGTGTGCCACCACACTCGGCTAATTTTTTGTATTTTTAATAGAGACGGGGATTCACCGTGTTAGCCAGGAGGGTCTGATCTCCTGACCTCGTGATCCATCCGCCTCAGCCTCCCAAAGTGCTGAGATTGCAGGCATGAGCCACCGCACCCCACCTTCTGTTCTTATTTGAACCCTTGGTCACTCTATTTGAGTGTTCAATCTTCTGTTTCCTTCCAGTACACAGACAGTTATAAGTTCCTACTGTCTTTTTTGTAAGTGGCAGGGATATAACAGTGAAAAAAAAAAAAAAAGAAAGAAAAAGAAAAACTTGTGCCCTCAGGGAGCTGGAGAGGACTAAGACAGACATAAACAAACAAATAAGAAATATGCTAATATACTATGTCAGGAAGTATAAGTGCTATGAATGAAGGAAGAGAAAAAAGAATAGATGAATGCAATCATTTAGAGGTTATGACTAGACTTTAGAGATGATCTAATCTGAACCCCTCACTTTACAAATGAAGGCAAGGAGACCTAGAAAGGATGTTTAAGGTCACATGGTGAATTATTGGTAAAAGCTGGGCTGGTTTCCAGCTCTCCTTGGCTCGTCCGGGGCTGGAGGAATGCAGCTCAGCCCATGGAAGGGTGTGTAGGGGGCAGGTGGTGGGGGGATGCAAAAGTTCTTTCTGGTTCTCTTTCCTTTCTTTAAGGACAATCTTCCGGAAGCAACAGTGCGGGCAGCAATGGAGTTTACTGGAAGGCGCCTAGGCAGCTGGGCAGAAAGGAAGGGATCACCCAGCAGAAGCTATGGGAGCCCCTCTGTTCCTTCTGAAGGCACCTTGGCTGTTCACCAGAGCAGAGGGCACTATGGGCCCTGGTGCTGCTCAGGATGCCTGAAGGGGTGGGTGGGTGGCAAGGCCCATCCACCAGGGCACCAAAGCTGCAGAGTGGTGGGACTGGGAGGAGGGCTTGCACTGTGGGCCCGGCCTTTGGGGAAGAGTATTGTTCTGTTGCTGACGAAGCCCCAGCCCACGTGCAGGAATTGGCTGGGAGGCTGAAACTACCCTGGGTGACTGGGTCATCCGTTTCCCAAGCCCCACAATTCTTTCCATTCCACCCGGCTCACCATCTTGGCATGCCCCCAGTGCCCCACTGGGTGGAGGGAAACAGCAATACTCATTTATGGAGTCTGCAGTCTGCCAAACACAGTTCATGCGTTATCTCAATGCATGAGAATCCTTGCAACTACCCTATGAGTGCGTTGTTCTCCCCATTTCACACATGAGGAAACACGCTCGTGGAAGTTGTGTGACTTGCCCAGGGCCATAGAGCAGGAAGTGGCAGAGAGAACTTTCAAACCCAGGCTGGGCTAACAGGAAAGGTTGGGTTCTTTCCACAGCTGCCCTTCAGACTCCTTCCAGGGGGCGTCCTGGAACCAGCCAGCCCATCCTCCAGATTGGCCTAGGGTGTGGGCTGCCAGCCACACACTCCCCTCTCCCCCTACCATGCCCCCTCGTCCCCTCGGTGTTGGCTGCTCAGTGGCTCCCCATGCCCCCTGGCCCTCCGAGTCTCAGGTCCACGCCCAGCACGGTTTCTCTGCCAGGTCTGCACTAGGCTTCTGTCCCAATGGCCAGACTGAGGTTGCCATGAAAATGCCCTACCCTTGGACTCCCTCGTGGGCCCCACAAGCCACTGGAATGTCTCAGAAATCCCACCCTTCAGGCCCACATCCAAATCGCCTCTCCCAGACGGCCTCTCTCATTGCGAGCAACAGGAAAATCCTTTCAGATCGTGTCCTGATTTTCAGTTGGAAAACAGATGGCCACCATTGCAAGGCTGGCCATACACCCTCTTACTTCCTTTTTCTTTTTCATTCCATTTTCTCTCTGTGTGTCCAATATCATGCTGTGGTTGTTACAAGCACAGACATAACCTGAACTTGACTTTCGGATCTGCCCCTTCTCAGCCTTCTGACCTTGGACTCCTTACTTGGGCATTGGTGTCGTCTTCCTTAATAATTGTGACTGTATTCTGCATTCTTGGCTTTTTTTGTTTTTTGTTTTTTGTTTTTTTGAGACAGGGTCTGGTAGTGTCACCCAGGCTGGAGTGCAGTGGCATGATCAGAGCTCACCACAGCCTTGACCTCCTGGGTTCAAGCGATCCTCTCACCTCAGCCTCCCCAGTAGTTGGGACTACAGGCACATGCCAACACTCCTGGCTAATTTTAGTATTTCTTGGTAGAGATGGGGTCTCACTATGTTGCCCAAACCAGTCTCAAACTCCTGGGCTCACACAATCCTCCCGCGTCGGCCTCCCAAAATGTTGGGATTATAGGCATGAGCCACCGTGCCTTGGCTTTTTGTGAGTATTGAAGAGATAATAAATTAGAATCAGTGCTACCTTCTCAGCAAGCTTTTTCCAACCTTTCTTCTTAAAATTACAAACCCATCCCGACTCCAGCATCCTTATCCTCCTTCCCTTCTGTATTTTTCTCCATAGCACATGTCACCATCTTATGTACTAAAACTTTCACGTATTTTGGTTATTGACTCTCCCTCCAATGGAATGTAAGCTCTATGAGGACCGGGATTTTAAAAATCTGTTTCCGGCTGGGCGCGGTGGCTCACGCCTTAATCCCAGCACTTTGGGAGGCCAAGACAGGTGGATCACTTGAGGTCAGGAGTTCAAGACCAGCCTGGCCAACATGATAAAACCCCGTCTCTACTGAAGATACAAAAAAATTAGCTGGGCATGGTGGCACATGCCTGTAGTCCCAGCTACTTGGGAGGCTGAGGCAGGAGGATCACCTGAACCTGCAAGGTGGAGATTGCAGTGAGCCGAGATCTCGCTACTGCACTCCAGCCTGAGCACCAGAGCGAGACTCCGACTCAAAAACAAACAAACAAACTGTTTTCATGGTTATGTCCCTGTGTCTAGACAGGGCCTGATGCACTGTGGGCACTCAAAAAAATATTCATTGAGACTGGGCGTGGTGGCTCATGCTTGTAATTCCAACACTTTGGGAGGCTGAGGTGGGAGAATTGCTTGAGGCCAGGAGTTTGAGACTAGCCTGGGCAACATGGTGAGACCCCTTCAAAAGAAAAAAAAAACTGGCTGGGTATCGTGCCTGTAGCCCCAGCTACTCATGAGGCTGCAGCGGCAGGATCACTTGAGCCCAGTAGTGTGAGCTTATAGTGAGCTATGATTGTGCCCCTGCACTCCAGCCTGTAGGGCAGTGACCAAAGGAGACCCTGTTTCTTTCTTTATTTTTTTTTTTTTGAGACAGAGTCTCACTCTGTTGCTCAGGCTGGAGTGTAGTGGCGCGATCTCGGCTCACTGCAAGCTCTGCCTCCCAGGTTTACACCATTCTCCTGCCTCAGCCTCCTGAGTAGCTGGGACTACAGGCGCCCGCCACCATGCCTGGCTAATTTTTTGTATTTTTAGTAGAGACGGGGTTTCACCGTGTTAGCCAGGATGGTCTCGATATCCTGACCTCGTGATCTGCCCGCCTCGGCCTCCCAAAGTGCTGGGATTACAGGCGTGAGCCACTGCGCCCGGCCAGGAGATCCTGTTTCTTAAAAAGACATATATAATTGAATAAATGGAGTAACGGGGCAGGGCCAGTGGCATAGGTATTTTTCAGAAGCTTGTGATTTTGAGGCACCCCTAAGTTTTCTAGGTGGATAAAGCACCTGGCAGGGTGCCTGGCCTGAGGTTAGCTTAGTGCCAGAGGCCGGCTGATGGCATTATCTTGTTCCTTTAAGTTTCCTCGCCCACACCTATACCTTGGGCCTCCCAGTGATATCACTGGGAAGCCCTGTGGCATCCTGACCCAAGGGCCCAGCCATTCCAGCTTCTAACCCATCCCACAGGGGACAGCTCCTGGCTGCCACGCCCTCCCTTCCCTCCTCTCACCCACTTTGGAAGGGTGAGTCAGGACAGAAGACCAGGAACAGTGGCCTCAGGCCACTCTCCCGCTGCCCAGGCAGCCTGTTCTGCCCAGGGCTGTGGCAGGAAGGAGCCAAGCCACAGGGCAGGCCAAGGCTGTGCGGGCAGCTCAGGGCAGGGGCCTGGGGTGGGGCGGAGGAGCTCCCCTTTCTTGCTGGGATCTCTCCACAGGCCGCCAGCAGGCCCTGAGCTCCAAGGGGAGCCTCTTCCACCGGGCCACTTTCACTTTCTCTTTTCTCCACAGAAGCAGAACCAGCAGGCCCAGCTCACAGAGATGGGGTGGGAGTTAGGAGTCAGAAAAACTGGCTTGGCCAGGCGCAGCGGCTCAAACCTGTAATCCCAGCACTTTGGGAGGCCGGGACGAGTGCATCACCAGAGGTCAGGAGTTCGAGACCAGCCTAGCCAACATGGTGAAACCCTGTCTCTACTAAAAATACAAAAATTAGCTGGGCATGGTGGGGGGCACCTGTAATCACAGCTACTTTCAGGAGACAGAGGCAGGAGAATCGCTTGAACTCAGAAGGCGGAGGTTGCAGTGAGCCGAGATTGCGCCATTGTACTCCAGCCTGGGCAACAAGAGTGAAACTCCGTCTCAAAAAAAAAAGAAAAAAGAAAAAGAAAAACTGGCTCCTGGGGGGCCTCCTGAACATGGGAGAAAGGCGGCTCAACAGCCTCTGTGCCCCATAGCCATGTGAGTAAATCTCAGCAGAGAAATAGTAATAATGACAGTCCCTTATATTCCTCAGCCAGGAATACCTTTATTTATTTATTTATTTATTTTTATTTTTGAGACAGGGTCTCAATCTATCACCCAGGTTGGAGTGCAGTGGTGCAATCTCAGCTCACTGCAACCTCCACCTCCCAGACTCAAGCAATCCTCTCACCTTAGCCTCCCGAGGAGCTAATTTTTAAAATTTTTTGTAGAGATGGTCTCACTATATTGCCCAGTCTAGTCTCACACTCCTGGTCTCAATCGACCCTCCTGCCTCAGACTCCCAAAGTGCTGGGATTACAGGTGTGACTTACCATTTACTCAGCCTGCCAGGGATACTTTCAAAGCACTATCATGATTATTATCTCACCAGATCCTCACTCTGGGGCGGGGATAGGGAAGACAGGAATTAAAAAACAAATGCAAAAAAAAAATGTCCTCCAGGCTGGGAGTCAACTGAAGCCAGAAAGCCAGGGCAAGAACATTTTGTAGGTTTTGTATTTTGCCAGATTTCCTCCCTGTTCCCAGAGGTTCACCTCAGAGCAGCAGAGCCTTGCTCAATCTCTGCCCATCCAGGAAGAAACTGAGGCAACCCTGGCAGGACCCAGAGTGGAAACACAGCTGACGCCTCCATCATGGCCCCCTGTAACAGTGCAACACTCACAAACAAAGGAAGGGAATTCACTCCTGGATTTCCCAGCAGAGCCAAGTGTGTCTTAGGAGCTGGCAAGGAAGGGAGGTGACATCTGGGAGAGGACCAGGAGCCGTCAACAACCCTGGAGAAGTTGTGTTCATTCTTACTTTCCAGATAGTAAATATTGCCTAAAGACAGAGCTAGCAGAGATTCTCAAGCCTGCTCAGGATTTCTCTAAAGCCTTCCTGCTGCTTTCAGGGGTCAGGAGCCCCTGCAGCCTTTTTTGTTTGTTTGTTTGTTTGTTTGTTTGTTTTTGAGGCTGAGTCTCCCTCTGTCGCCCAGGCTGCAGTACAATGGCATGATCTCAGCTGACTGCAACCTCTGCCCCCCAGGTTCAAGTGATTCTCTTGCCTCAGCCTCCTGAGTAGCTGGGATTACAGGCGCCCGCCACCACGCCTGGCTAAATTTTGTATTTTTAGTAGAGACGAGGTTTCACCATGTTGGCCAGGCTGGTCTCGAACTCCTGACCTAAGGTGATCTGCCCACTCCGCCTCCCAAAGCCCCTGCGGCTCTTATCCATAGATCCTGCACAGGAACACCCCCACGCAGGCCCTGGCCCTCTCCTTGTTATGTGTCCCTGAGGCTGTCCTCCCAGGACTTGGTTCACTTTCAGGTCTGCCACCCATTGGTGCATTCATTTCTGTATTTAATGTTACTGAGCACCAACTATGTCCCACACACTCTTCCAGGTACTGGGGATACAGCAGAGCCAAACAAAACCGAGAAAGTCTCTGCCCTCAAGCTTTTATTGAAGGAGGGAAATAGACAAAAGAGAAGCAAACAAACAAAAAAGGTAAAATCAGAGGGTGGTAAAAGCTATGAAGGAAATAAAGCAGTATAACTGCTTAAGGAGCAGGGACCTCTGCAGGTGGATGGCAAGGGAAGGTCTCTCTGCAGAGACGACATTGACATTCATGCTGAGACCTGGGCCAGCCATGCAAAGAAGGGGGGTGTAGGCAGAAGTGCCGCAGTGGGAACAGGCTAGAAGTTGGGCCTGGTGCTGGGACAGTCCCAGTTCAGGCATGTCCTCCTGGTGTCGTTTTTAATAGCTCATCCTTTCACAATCAAGAGTGGCTCATGCCGGAGATGAGTTACCCGCAATGAGGGGCTGGATTTATTCTAAGGGCAGAGGGAAGCCATCACAGGAAATGATGTGATTGATGTTTTGAAAAGAACTCGCTGGCTGTTCCGTGAAGAATAAATTAGAGGGGCAGGAGGGAAGAAGTCTGCCTGGGGCGGCTGCAGCAACCCAGGCGTGCTGCGAGGTGCCCTTTGACTAGATTCCAGTGGGGGCTTTCGGGCGAGCAGAAGAACCCCAGGGATCAGCTCTAGCCACGCTCAGCTCCCTGGGCCGGCCCTGGGCATTTCTGAGACGGCCCTCGCGCTCAGGGACCTCTCCTCGCAGTTCCATTGTCTGTTCTTGCGGAGTCCTGCCACACTGGGAGGGCCACCCCCTCCTCTTGCTCCCCTCCCCTCCCCGGGTCCAGCCCCTCCCCTGCCTGGCCCGGCTGCCGCCCAGCGCCAGCCAGAGCCCACCCCGCCTCCCTGCAGGAAGCCGGCTGGCGGCGCCTGCTGCGTGACCTTGGGCTGCAAAGTCGGGCGTTTGCAAAGTCAAAGCGAGTCACTTCCTCCCCCAGGCCTCCCCCGAGCGGGCAGCCGGCCGCCGCTCCCTGCCCCCTCGCCCGCCGCGGGCCGGGGCTGGCGCTGGCACGAACGCGCTCTGCATGCTAAGTGCTCGCGCCCGTTCCCGCCGCCCGGAGGCTCATTTGTCACCCGCTGCTGACTCAGCACTTCTGCAGAAGGCTTTTCCCTCCGCTTTGGAGGAGGAGGCCCGGAAATGAGGCAGAGGCTCTTCCTTCCCTTCCCTCCAGCAGGGGTGTGTGGCGTGGGTGTGTGCGGGTGTGGCAGGGTCTGTCTGTATGTCTGATGCCTGTCCATCACCGGTGTATATTTTCGCGGCTGTGTCTGTCTTTTGTGTATGGCTGAGTCTGTGTATGTGTCTTAGTGCATGTTGATCCCTGCGCCTGTCTGGTGGGTCTTTGTCCCTGTCTGTGGGCATCTGTGTTGGCCTGTGGGCCTGTCATGTGTGTGTCATACGTGTGTCTGGGTGAGTGTGTGTGTGTCCCCCCCACCCCCCTCCCTCAGCCCCAGCCTCCTCCCCTCAGACTTCACCTTGTCTCCTGGAGTGACCCTGGGGTTTCTGAGGCCAAAGTGGCACACCTTCCCTCCCCTGGCACCCCCAGCTCCCATCCCACCCTCTGCCACCAGTCCCCTAACATGGGACCTCAGGGGCTGAAAACACAGGCTCTGGAATCAGCCACATCTCCACATCTAGGTCTCAGCCTAGGCTCTGCACTTGCCACAGGGACCTTAAATGAGATACCTTTCCTGAGCCTGTTTCCACACTTATAAAATAGAGGTGATCATATCTCCCTAAAAGAGGATAATTTCATGATGGGGTCTGGTATATCACATGCAGCAAATGGTGCCTGTTATTTCTACTTAAAGCAATAGGCCCAGTGTCAGGCACATAGCCAGGGTCTAATAAACGGCCACTTAAGAATAAAAGCACCAAGAAGCCCTTTCCTTGGCTGCCAGAAAAGGGAGTGGGTGGGGAGATGGTGACCTGGATTGGGAGCTGGGCAGGAGCTGTTTGCATGACACCTACTGTGAGGAGAGAGATGTGGTGACCTGATTTAGTGCTGCCTTGGGCAGCCAAGGAAGTCAGGAAGGAAATCACAGACGAGGGGCTCGGGAGCTGCTGTGCCCTGCCCTGCCCTTCCCCAGACCACACACTGCCTGACACCCGCAGGCAGAGTGAGGGCCCAGGGGGGAGGAGCACAACTCCATGCCAGCCCCTACCTCCAGAGCAGCCCTCATGCTGTGTCCCTGGGTGAACAACTTTTTTTTTTTTTTTTTAAGACAGGGTCTCTCTCAGCCACATAGGCTCGACTACAGTGGCGCGATCATAGCTCACTGCAGCTTCGACTTCGCGGGCTCAAAAGATTCTCCCCCTTCAGCCTCCTGAGTAACTGGGACTACAGGTGCATGCCACCATGCCCAGCTAATTTTTAATTTTTTTTTGAAGGGACAGGGTCTTGCTATGTTGCCCAGGCTGGTCTTGAACTCCTGGGCTCAAGTGATCCTCCTGCGTCTGCCTACTGAAGTCCTGGAATTATAGGCATAAGCCACTTTGTCCAGCCGCTGGGAGAATATGCACATCCATTCGTTTTACCTCTTTAGCAATCTTGTGAAGGAGATTCTTAGCATCCCCATTTTGCAGCTGAGAAAAACTGAGACTGGGAGGTTAAGTCCCAAGGTCACAGGACCGACAGGTGGCTGAGAGAACCCTGGCATTCCAGCTGCCAGTCAGGCACTCCCTGGTTGTCTACACTAGCTGCCGTCTTCCTGGGCACACACAGAGGAATCAGCACACACCCGGTACACCCTCCCATGAGCAGAACTCCTACACACTGGCTGGTACCATACCCTCCCTAACACCAGCACCCGTAGCAAATTCTTTCCAGGGCCAGCCAAGCCCTACTCCCCTTTGTTAAAGGCAGCTTTCCTCAGAAGGGTGAGCATTTGTTGTCTCAGGGCCTGCAGTGTGGATTCTACCTTCTTTTTACTGTGTTCAGCAGGAGCGAGGCAAACCAGCTTGGGATAGAAACACAGGCGTTTCCTCCACTGTCAGGGTTTTCCTGGGGCAGGCATCTGAGTTACTGCCTGGACCCGGTAGCCCCTAGCAACAGGGCACCACTCTCACCTGGGCCATTTATGATGACTTTGGGAGGTGGAGCCAATTAGGGGGCAAAGCAGGGATCCCCACAGGTGGGAGTGGCAAAAGAGTGGAGGCTTGAAGTCCAGGAAACCCCAGTGTATGCCTCTGCTGCTAAGGAGCCGTGTGGCCTTGGGCAAATCACTATCCCCTTCTGAGCCTGGGGCTCCACATCTACATAGTAAGGGAAGTGGCACTCATGTTCCTTCCAGTTCACACACAGTCCCACATGCTACTAGACCTAGGTTAAGGCAAGGTCTGTGCTATCAGGTACTACCATAGACACAGAAACCGGGGGAGACTCTGCCACCATTATACCCACCCACCCCAACCCTCAAGTTCCCAGCTCTTCCTGGGAAAACCGACAGACAACAGGCCCATGTAGGCAGAAGAAATCAACATGAGGGGTCTCAGTGCCTAGAGAATAGACTTAGAATGAGCCCAAAGTGGAAGGGAGAACCAAAGAGTTTCCCTCACTGCCACATTTGGCACTCCTGCTCCAGGGAATCCAGCACTGAGCTAGAGACAGGATGCTGGGTTCGCCATTCAGGATTCGTAGGTGAGGCCACAGCCATTTCTGCTTTCGGGGCCTGTAACTGGTGGAGAGAAACGGGTGATAGCATCTGTGGCCTTCCTGATTCATAGGTTTATCCCAGCATGAGGCGTGGCTGCTGCAAAGCAGACATGTCCATTTCTGTCCAGACACAGTTGGGGCGGGCAGTGGGTGGCTGCAGCCTGTCCTTACATGGGGCTAAAGGGGCCCAGCCACTTAGTGACTCACCCACTTGCCCAGCCAGCTGAAACCCTGGCCTCACCCTTCCCTTCTGCTACCTACAAAAGCCCCCTGACATAGCACTCTTGTCATACTGAGACTAAGGTAGAAAAAGACACTTCCAAAGGGTGTCAATGACAAGAGAGAAATAGACATAGAGTGGTCACTTCATTTACCAACCCTGGAACCGCAGACCTCTGGGCTTCCTGGTATGTGATTTCAGTTTTACCCCTCACTGTTTAAATTGCTTGAGTTATGTATTTTGTTATTGATTTATTTATTTATTTATTTATTTATTTTGAGACAGCGTCTCTCTCTGTCGCCCAGGCTGGAGTGCAGTGGTGCGATCTCGGCTCACTGCAACCTCCGCCTCGCGGGTTCAAGCGATTCTCCTGCCTCGGCCTCTCGAGTAGCTGGGATTACAGGCATGCACCACTACACCTGGCTAATTTTGTACTTTTAGTAGAGATGGGGTTTCGCCATGTTGGTCAGGCTGGTCTCAAACTCCTGACATCAGGTGATCCGCCTGCCTCGGCCTCCCAAAGTACTGGCATTACAGATGTGAGCCGCCTCACCCGGCTTGTATTTTGTTCTTGCAGACGAAAGCTGCCCACCAAATATGAACAGATAGGAACCTCGTGATCTTTTGGGGCTGTCATCCTTCTCTCAGTCTGCCAGTAACTGGGATCCTGGCATTTATCCTGGAGGTCCCTGAAGGTCCAAGAGGGAACAGAGGAAATCTGATTGGCACAGGTGTGGTGACGTGAAGCAGGTGGTGGCTTTTAGGACTGGAGGTCTGGTGTAGGGTGTATTAGTGAGGAGAACATGGAGGGAGGAACTCACCAGGAAAATTGCAGCCAATTTCCAGCGGTCAGGAATTGAAGATCCAGCAGAGTACGGAATCAGCTCCTCCAGAGTAGTGGGTTTTTCCAGTTGTAGGTTGAGATCCATTCGTGGGTCATGAAATCAAGTTAAGGGATCATAGTCATACACAGAATTTTTTTGTTTGTTTGTTTTTGAGACAGTCTCATTCTGTCCAGGCTAGAGTCTCTAGTCTCTGCCCAGGCTAGAGTGCAGTTTCACAGTCTTGGCTCACTGACCTCCACCTCCTGGGTTCAAGTGATTCTCCAGCCTCAGCCTCTCAAGTAGTTGGCGTTACAGGCACCTGCCACCACATCTGGCTAATTTTTTGTATTTTTAGTAGAGACGGGGTTTTGCCATGTTGGCCAGGCTGGTCTCGAACTCCTGGCCTCAAGTGATCCGCATGCCTTGGCCTCCCAGAGTGCTGGAATTACAGGCGTGAGCCACCACGCCCAGCCAGAATTTTTTTTAAAAAAAGGAAATAGAAGAGAATGTAAGAATAGAAGTGCAGGTTAAAAGGAACGTTTAATTTCATAAAGTTTTTGCCTCAGGGTAGTATGCTTGTCTGAGTAATGGGTTGAGATAGGAACGCATTTCTTAGTGCAGGTCTTGATTTCAAATGTTCGAAAGCCACTGCTCTGGAAAATAGAGGAGTGGAGACCAAAGTGTGCCCTTTGTGTATGTGTCGGCAGTGGGGTGGGGGTGGGGGTCTCTGTCCTAGCATTTGGTTGCAGCACCCCAGGAGTGCCTGTAGGGGAACCACTGACCTCCACTTTTCCATACGCTTCACACCTTCACACCGAAATGTGCTCCATTCCCTTTGCTATTTTTTTTTCTTTTCTTTTTTTTTTTTTTAGACAGAGTCTAGCTCTGTCGCCCAGGCTGAAGTGCAGTGGCACGATCTCGGCTCACTACAACCTCTGCCTCCTGGGTTCGAGTGATTCTCCTGTCTCAGCTTCCTGAGTAGCTGAGACTATGCCTGGCTAACTTTTGCAGTTTTAGTAGAGACGGGGTTTCACCATGTTGGCCAGGCTGGTCTCAAACTCCTGACCTTAGGTGACCTGCCCACTTCAGCCTCCCAAAGTGCTGGGATTACAGGCGTGAGCCACCTCACCCAGCCTGCTATTTTCATTAGGAGGAAAAGAGGGATGGTAGCTTTCATCCAGATCCCCCATCTTCAGAATGTTTTCAACTTTCCCCAGAACCTCCACAGCGTTAAGTCAGTCAAAATCCTTGGATGGACCCTTCCAAGTAGCAAGGGCCACCCTGTCCCCTTTCCCCTGGCCATGAGACCACGCAGAGCGCAGGGGCCGGAGTCAGAAAGGGCAGTTTGGCCCCTGGGCAGTCTCCTGAGAGTCTTTCTCCTCCCAGTTTCTACTATTTGGCGGAACCTTGAATGCAGGGGGGCGGGACAGAGAAAAAACTAGAAAGCTCGACTTCTGCCTGCGGGGCCGGAAGCCCCGCTGCGGCCCCAGCCCGCGGTTAGCCCCTGTTTGTCATTTTGCAAATCTGGTCAACCCACCTCCGGTGAAAACTCCCAACCTCACCCCAGGGGGCAATGACTAATTACAAAACACATTTTCTCTCGTTTTCGTCAAGCTCGCTGTCCCGCCCACACATCCCCCGCCTATCCCGGCACCCGTCGGCTTCCTCAGGAGCCTCACTCAACTGTGTTGAATGAACTCTTGGCCTGGTCCCTCCCCCAGAGACTTCACACCGTGGGGTTCTTTCCTCCCTGCTCAGCTTTACTTTCACTTTCTAGTCACTCTCACTTCTCTGTCAGCTTCAGCTTCTCACCCTAGAGCTTGAGCCCTGGTCCTTTCTTAAGGCAGGGGCTATTGCCCAAGTCCTGGGCTGCACCCAATTCGTCAAAAGTCTCGATTCATCAATAGTCAAAAATATTTATCAAATGCATTCTGTTCCAGGCTCTAGGAATGCAGTGCAAGACAGGCAAGGTTCTTGCTCATACAGAGCTTCTAGAAACCTGGGATACAGAGATGCAATCAAGTGATAAAACACATGGATGAAGGCTCTGCCATTGAACACATGGTTCTTGACAAGCCCACAGAGAGGCACAGCTAAGCCAGCCCTGGGGAGCCAGGGAGGGTTCCCTGGAGGGAGAGAAGCTGGATCCAGGTCTGAAAGATGACTTGAAGTCAGCCATGAGCAAGGAAGAGATTTTCCAGGCCAAGCGAACAGCCTGTGAGTGGTGCCATTTGGGTGAGGCTGGCTGGAGCTCACAGGGTGGGAGGGAGTGCAGGGAGCTGGGGTCCCCAAAGGTGGAAAGAAGCCAGACCCAAAAGGACTTTGAAATTCTGCTCAGCCATTTGGATTTTGTCCTGAGGGTGATGGAGATTTGTGAGCCCCAAATATCTGAGACAGGTCCCAGTCCCTTTAGAAAGTTTATTTTTGCCAAGGGTAAGGACAAGCCCATGACACAGCCTTAGGAGGTCCTGAAGACAGGTGCGCAAGGTGGTCAAGGTACAGCTTGCTTTTATACATTTTAGGGAGATATAATACATCAATCAATATATGTAAGATTTACATGGGTTCTGGCCGGGCGCGGTGGCTCATGCCTGTAATCCCAGCACTTTGGGAGGCCAAGGCAGGAGGATCACCTGAGGTCGGGAGTTCAAGACCAGCCTGACCAACATGGAGAAACCATCTCTACTAAAAATACAAAAAAATTAGCTGGGTGTGGTGGTGCATGCCTGTAATCTCAGCTATTCGGGAGGCTGAGGCAGGAGAATCATTTGAACCCGGGAGGCAGAGGTTGCAGTGAGCCAAGATCACGCCATTGCACTCCAGCCTGGGCAACAAGAGCGAAACTCCATCTCAAAGAAAAAAAAAAAAAGATTTACATGGGTTCGATCTGGAAGGACGGGACAACTCGAAGTGGGGGGCTTCCAGGTCATAGTTAGATTTGAACATAAACTGATTGGCAATTGGTTGAAAGAGTTATTGTCAGCAGAAAGGAATCTCTGAGCTATGATAAGGGGTTGTGGAGACCTAGGTTTTATCATGCAGTTGAAGCCTCCAGTAGCAGGCTTTCGAGAGAATGGACTGTAAATGTTTCTTATCAGACATAAGGTTTGTGTTGATGTTGATGTTAGGGGTATAATGAGGCTTGGCTTCCCTTCATGGCCTGAACCAGTCTTTCAGGTTAAATTTTAGACTGCCCTGGCTGAGGAGGAAGTCCATTCAGATGGCTGGTGGCTGGGGGGTGAGGGGTGTGGGGTGTTCCATACACAGCCATGGAAGGGCCTCAAGCCAGAGAGACATAATAAATGGAAGTGGGAGGCAAGACTGGACAAAGAGAGACCCGTCAAGAGTTTGTTACAGGCCGGGTGTGGTGGCTCACACTTGTAATCCCAGAACTTTGGGAGGCCAAGGCAGGCGGATCACGAGGTCAAGAGATCGAGACCATCCTGGCCAACGTGGTGAAACCCCGTCTCTACAAAAATTAGCTGGGCATGGTGGCACGCGCCTATAGTCCCAGCTACTAGGGAGGCTGAGGCAGGAGAATCGCTTGAACCCAGGAGGCAGAGGTTGCAGTTAGCTGAGAGGGTTCCACTGCACTCCAGTCTGGCGACAGAGCCACACTCCGTCTAAAAAAAAAAAGAAAAAAAAAGAGTTTGGTTGTTGCAGTGGGAAGATGTGAATGGACATGAGAGATATATTTAGGAGACAGGATTGTGGATATGGAGGTTAGAGGAAAGGAAGAAGGGAAGGATGACTCCAGGTTTCCTGCACAAACCATGGTCCCCCCTGTTCCCTACAGGAGGAAGAGTTGGAAGAAGAAGAGCGATAGATAGAGAGAGGAGACAACAAGGTCCCTCTGGGACAGGCTGAATTCCAGATGTCTGTGGGACACTAGGCCATTGGCTATGGTGGTCTGAGACCCTAAACAGGGGCCTGGGATAGGGTTTTAGTCTGGTCACCATGTACACACGGAGGCAGGGTATAGAGTGAGAAGATGGGATGATTGAAAGGCCTGGGACACGAGCCAGGGAAACGCAGGATAGAAATGACTGGCAGAGGCTGGGCACGGTGGCTTACGCCTGTAATCCCCACACTTTGGGAGGCCGAGGTGGGTGGATCACTTGAGGCCAGGAGTTCAAGACCAGGCTGGCCAACGTGGAGAAACCCCATCTCTACTAAAATACAAAAAATTAGCGGGTCATGGTGGCATGCACCTGTAATCCCAGCTACTCAGGAGGCTGAGGCAAGAGAATCTCTTGAATCCTGGAGGCAGAGCTTGCAGTGAGCTGATATCACGACACTGCACTCCAACCTGAGCGACAGACCAAGACTCTGTCTCAAAAGAAAAAAAAAAAAAAGAGGTGACTGACAGAGAATGACCCCAGCAAAGGACCAGAGAAGGAGCAGTCCACGGAGGACCACTTGGAGAGGGTGGGTGGGGGGAAACCCAGCTCACAGGAGAAGGTGTGGCCGATGGTGTGGCATGCTGCTGAAAGGCCAGGTAGGTGAGAACAGTGGTGAGCACTGTTTCAGTGGTGGTGGTGGCGGAGGGAGAGTGACAAAAAGCATTTGGTTCTGAGCCTGGGAGTAGCAGGCTGGGGGAGGAGCCTAAGGCTAGGCCGGCTCTCAGGAGCAGTGTGGGCCCCAAATATCCTCTTCTGTGATCTTTTTACCTTTTGGCAAAGTGTTATTTAAATGTATTTAAATCTTTTAAGGAAATATTTCTAATTTTGTGCCAAAATAAAGCACTGTAAATCCTAGCCACTGTTCCTTTGCTTCCCCAGGGGCCGCAGTGACTGTGTCCAGTCCTTCCTCACCCCGCTGCAGAGTCAGTCCAGGAGGCCTTTACCCACAGCACTGCCACCTCCCTCCACGACCCCTGTCTTTCTCTTCCCCAGATTAAACGCTCCCACTTCTCTCCATTCTTCTTTCTCCACCCCCAGGCCCATTTCTGCCTCGGTTGCCTGCCTCCAACCACAATCCAGTTTTTTGGCTCCCAGAGACAGACATGCCCAGATCTGAACACCACCCACCTGGGTATGTTCTGCCAGTGTGCAAGGTGGGGCCCTCCAGGCCCTCTCCTCCCCTCCCTTTTTCTAGATGCCATTTCCTGCTAAAGCCACCTCTCCCATGGCTATAAACTACCTTCAATCAGGGCACGAACTCTAGAGCACAAGAGAACCTGAGATTCTTTAAAACATTCTAGTTTAATGTCCTCGTTTTACAGATAAAGAAAATGGGTACGGCCAAGACCATAGACCTAGTGATTGTCAGATGAACAATTAGACCCACAGAACCATCCAAGCTACAGAGGACGCATTCTGCCTTCCCTTGGATCCTGTGGTTTGAGGATGGAGGTCTAGGACCGTGGCAGGCTTTTTGTCCCATGAGGGAAGGCCATGGAGCTGAGGAAGGGGAAGAACACACACACCTAATGGAATCTCGAGAGAAAGTTCAGACATCAAAAGACAGAAGCGACAGAGACCCAGGTCTGTGGGGACGCTGTATGGCTGAGTCAAGTCTTGATCAAAGTCAGCATTATATCTGGACTTGCACAGTTTCTGAGCCTTGAAACTCCATTTCGTTTAAGTGAGCTTTTAACTGTCACAGGCAGCTGCATGCACACACAAGTCCATGTGATTAGATGTTTCCAAGAGTCTGGAATAACATACCCCAAACTGTTAATAGTGGTTACCCTATAGAAGGGGAGTAGGAAGGTGTGTGTTGGGGTGGAGGATGGTTTGCCAACTGGAAACTCACTCCAGGCTAACATTTATTGCTAGGCACCATTCTAAACTTTGCCAGTAATCCTCTCCCTAGAGGCTGAGGAAGACCACTTCTTCAAGCCCTATTTAATAGACAGCGTGGCCAGGCATGGTTGCTCACGCCTGTAATCCCACCACTTTGGGAGGCCGAGGCAGGTGGATCACCTGAGGTCAGGAGTTCGAGACCAGCCTGGCCAACGTGGTAAAACCTCTTCTCTACTAAAAATACAAAAAAAATTAGCTGGGCTTGGTGGCGGGCACCTGTAGTCCCAGCTACACGGGAGGCTGAGGCAGGAGAATTGCTTGAATCCAGGAGGCAGAGGTTGCAGTAAGCCAAGGTCGCACCACTGCACTCCAGCCTGGGTGACAGAGCGAGACTCTGTCTCAAAAAAAAAAAAAAAAAAAAAAAAAAAGAGGAAAGAAAAATGAAAGAAAGAAAGAAAAATTAGCTGGGTGTGGTGGCGTACGCCTGTAGTCCCAAGTCCCAGCTACTCGGGAGGCTGAGACAGGAGAATCGCTTATCACTGGAGTCCAGGAGGCAGAGAGTGCAGTGATATCTCACCATTGTACTCCAGCCTGGGTGACAGAGAGAGACATAGTCTCAGAAAACGGAAAAAAAAAAAAAGAGAGATGGGGAAATGGAAGATATAGGGGTTACATCACCTGCTCAAAATTATGCTGCAAGTAAGTGGTGACACTGGGATTTGAACTGAGACAGTCTAGCTTCAGGTGGCCGCATCCTTCCCACTGCATTCTCCTGCCTCTCTAGCTCCCTCAGTGGGCTGCTGGGTCCCAGGCCTTGGGCTGGCATGGATAATCCCTTCATGCTCCCCTTGTCACTAAACCCCCCCACCTCACCTGCCAACACACACACAACCACCTGGAGCCCCTGCCAGTGTTTCCTCTTCCTCCCACTTGGCATGTTGAAGACCAGAATCACTCCCCTTTCACTCCCCACTTCATCCCACCTGGGAAAACAGGACCCTGCCGGCCAACTCAGAGCCCCACAGGGTTGCATTTTAGGTACCGTTTACATTTTCTTTAAGCCCTGTTCACATTCTCCATTCACATTGGGAAAAATATAAAGGGTTAGTATCCCCAGCATTGATGAGGTTCTAAGGCAGAGGGTACGCAGGTGGGACTACAGCGCTTTTTGGGGGACATTTGGATAAAATCCATCCCATTGCCGGGCGCAGTGGCTCATGCCTGTAATCCCAGCACTTTGTGAGGCTGAGGTGGGCGGATCGCTTGAGGTCAGGAGTTGGAAACCAGCTGGCCAACGTGACAAAACCCCATCTCTACTAAAAATACAAAAATTAGTTGGGTGTGGTGGCGGGCGCCTGTAATCCCAGCTACTCAGGAGGCTGAGGCATGACAATTGCTTGAACCCGGGAGGCGGAGGTTGCAGTGAACGGAGATTGTGCCACTGCACTCCAGCCTGGGGGATACAGTAAGACTCTCTTTTTTGAGATGCGTTTCTCTCTTTCACCCAGGCTGGAGCGCAGTGGTGCGGATCTTGGCTCACTGCAACCTCAGCCTCCCAGGTTCAAGCAATTCTCATGCCCCAGCCTCCCGAGTAGCTGGGATTACAGGCACATGCCACCATGCCCGGCTAATTTTTGTATGTTTAGTAGAGATGGGGTTTCACCATGTTGTCCATCCTGGTCTCAAACTCCCGACCTCAGGTGATCCACCCGCATCAACCTCCCTAAGTGCTGGAATAATAGGCATGAGCCACCGTGGTCAGCCGAGAATGCACATACTCTCTCCATTCTTCCTCCATGCGTACGCCCATTTCTGCCTTGGTTGCCCACCTCTGACCACAATCCAGAACTAACCACTCCACTTTTAGGAAAGTATCCTACAGAAATAGCTCAACAAGTACACTGGCTACAGCATTCCTGTAAATGGTCAGAGGCCATGGAACTCCAACAGCTGCCAAAAGGAAAAAAGTAGCTCTGGGCCAGGCATGGCGGCTCACACTTGTAATCCCAGAGCTTTGGAAGGCCAAGGCAGGAGAATTGCTTGAGGCTAGGAGTTCGAGACCAGTCTGGGCAACATATTGAGAACCTGTCTGTGCAAAAAAAATTTAAAAATTAGCGAAGTGTGGTGGTGTGTGCCTATAGTCCCAGCTACTTGGGAGGCTGAGGTGGGAGGATCACTTGAGCCCAGGAGTTTGAGGTTACAGCGAGCTGTGATAGCATCACTGCACTCCAGCCTGGGTGACAGAGTGAGACCCTGACTCAAAAACAAAAGTAACTCTGACTTAGGAACAGGCACAGAGGAGATCATGGTACACTGTTGATAAAACAATTTGCAGAATAATTTGTAGAATACGACCCAAGTTTTTTAAAACAATAAAAACAAAACACACAACATAAGCATATAGAAAATTGCCTGAGCTTTCCTCAGCTGCTGCCAAGGTGTTCGGTCCTTCCGAGGAAGCTAAGGACACATTGAGGTGAGGCCCTCACTTCATCCAGTGACTAGCACTGCGTCCGGCAGCGCCAGTCCCACACTCGCCCGCGCCATGGCCTCCATCTCCGAGCTCGCCTGCATCTACTCAGCCCTCATTCTGCACGACAATGAGGTGACTGTCACAGAGTATAAGATCAAGGCCCTCATTAAAGCAGCTGGTGTAAATGTTGAACCTTTTCGGCCTGGCTTGTTTGCAAAGGCCCCGGCCAATGTCAACATTAGGAGCCTCATCTGCAATGTAGGGGCTGGAGGACCTGCTCCAGCAGCTGGTGCTGCACCAGCAGGAGGTGATCCACCCGCATCAACCTCCCTAAGTGCTGGGATAATAGGCATGAGCCACCGTGGTCAGCCAAGAATGCGCATACTCTCTCCATTCTTCCTCCATGCGTACGCCCATTTCTGCCTTGGTTGCCCACCTCCACTGCTGCTGCTCCAGCTGAGGAGAAGAAAATGGAAGCAAAGAAAGAAGAATTTGAGGACTCTGATGATGACATGGGCTTTGGTCTTTCTGACTAAACCTCTTTTATAATATATTCGATCAAAAGCTGAACTTAGTGGTAAAACCATGTCTCTACTAAAAATAAAAAAATTAGCCGGGCATGGTGGCGCATGCCTGTAATCCCAGCTCCTAAAAAAAAAAAAAAAAAAAAAAAAAAAAAAAAAAAAAGCTGAACTTAAAAAGAAAAGGGAAAGAAAGAAAATTGCCTGAAAGGATAAACACCAAAATGGTGAGAAAGGGAAGTAGAATTAGGGAGGACCTGGTGAGTGGGAAAATTTTCATTTATTATCTGCATACGTCAATATTGTTCAAATTTTTACTTTAAGAAGACCTTACTTTTGCCGGGCATGGTGGCTCACGCCTGTAATCCCAGCACTTTGGGAGGCCAAGGTGGGCGGATCACCTGAGGTCAGGAGTTCGAGACCAGCCTGACCAACATGGAGAAACCCTGTCTCTACATTTAAAAAAAAATCTTAAAAAAAAATTCTAAAATGCAACAGATTTTTTTTTTTTTTCCGTCCCGGGTTCATGCCATTCTCCTGCCTCAGCCTCCCGAGTAGCTGGGACTACAGGCACCCGTCACCACACCCAGCTAATTTTTTGTATTTTTAGTAGAGACAGGGTTTCACCATGTTAGCCAGGATGGTCTCGATCTCCTGACGTCGTGATCCACCCACCTCGGCCTCCCAAAGTGCTGGGATTACAGGCATGAGCCAAAGCGATCGGCCAAATGCAACAGATTTTTTTGTTTTGTTTTTGTTTTTGTTTTCAGATGGAGTCTCACCCAGCCTGGAGTACAGTAGTATGATCTGCAACCTTTGCCTCCCAGGTTCAGGCGATTCTCCTGTCTCAGCCTCCGGAGTATCTGGGATTACAGGCACGTGCCACCACGCCCGGCTAATTTTTTGTATTTTTAGTAGAGATGGGTTTCACCGTGTTAGCCAGGATGGTCTCGAACTCCTGACCTCGTGATCTACCCGCCTTGGCCTCCCAAAGTGCTGGGATTACAGGCATGAGCTACCGTGCTCGGCCATGCCTGGCTAATTTATATATACATATATATATATATATATATTTTTTTTTTTTTTTTTTTTTTTTTGAGACAGAGTCTTGCTCTGTCACCCAGGTTGGAGTGCAGTGGCATGATCTCGGCTCACTGCAAGCTCGCCTCCCAGGTTCACGCCATTCTCCTGCCTCAGCCTCCTGAGTAGCTGGGACTACAGGCGCCCGCATGACGCCCGGCTAATTTTTTGTATTTTTAGTAGAGACGGGGTTTCACTGTGTTAGCCAGGATGGTCTCGATCTCCTGACCTCGTGATCTGCCCACCTCAGCCTCCGAAAGTGCTGGGATTACAGACATGAGCCACCGCACCCAGCCTTATATATATATTTTTTATTAGTGAAGAGGTTTCGCCATATTGGCCAGACTGGTCTCGAACTCCTGACCTCAGGTGATCCACCCACCTCGGCCTCCCAAAGTGCTGGGATTACAGGTGGGAGCCACCGCACCCTGCCTAAAATGCAAAAGATTTTGAATGGCGAGAATGGCGACATGATGCCACAAGTGGAAAATTCCACACCTGGCTGCATGTAATGGGTTGAAGTCAAAATGCAGTCAAAAACTTTGTTTCATGTACAAAATTATTAAAAACATTGTATAAAATCACCTTCAGACTATGTGTATGTGAAACCTAAGTGAATTTAATGGCTAGACTTCAGTTGCATTCCCAAGATCTCTCATTATGTATATGCAAATATTTTGAAATTCAACCTGGTTCCACACATTTTAGATAAGGGATACTCAAGCTGTAATTAACAAATAAACTTTTCACAGTCCAAGCAGCCAAAGGCCCACTGTCCCTGTTCCCTCAGCTCACGCCCCCTTCCGTGCACAGCCTTATCTAATCCTTCTACCCTTCGTTGTGTTTGGACTTCAGACTCTTTTTTTTTAAGACAAAGTCCCGCTCTGTTGCCCAGGCTGGAGTGCAGTGGCGCGATCTCAGCTCAACCTCTGCCCCCAGGTTCAAGCAATTCTCATGTCTCAGCCTCCCGAGTAGCTGGGATTACAGACACCCGTCACCACGGCTGGCTAATTTTTGTATTTTTAATGGAGACGGGGTTTCACCATGTTGGCCAGGCTGGTCTCAAACTCCTGACCTCAGGTGATCCGCCCCCATCAGCCTCCCAGGGTTTTGGGATTACAGGCGTGAGCCACTGCGTTCGGTCTGGACTTCAGATTCTTGAGCTGGCTGCAAGACTCCAGGTCCCCTGTGAACCACACTCAATAATCCCTCCCTAATCGCTGGTCCCCAGCAGCTCAGATTGGCTGCTGTTTGTCCAGTGAGGAGGTGGGCAAGGGTGCCCTTGGTTTATGCCCATGATAAAAAGAAAAGCAGCTATGGTGCAGTAGATGCTCAGAACTCCAGCGCGCATCAGCCTCTAGAGAGGGGCCTGGCCTCTGCTTGAACAGTGTATTTCTTTCTCTCCTTCCTGGACATACTGCAATCAAAGCATTTTCTAAGAGTCGGGTGGGACTCCACAGATGGTCTTGTCCAATAGCCTCACTTTGCAGGTGAGAACAATGCATCCAGGCCAAGCGTTTTTTCATTTTACTGCCCGCTACTCTCCAAGTGCAGTCTCTTAACAGTTTCTGAGTCTGAATGCAACTCTTGTTAACTGCTCAGTAAAGGAATTCTGTCAGGAAAGCTGCAGTTTACATCAGTGGTTCTCAGCCTTGATGACACATTGAAATCATCTGGGGAGATTTACAAGCTACTGACACCTGGGTCCTGCTCCTAGCGGTTCTGATTTATTTTTGTTTGTTTGTTTGTTTTTGGAGTTTCACTCTTGTTGCCCAGGCTGGAGTGCAATGGTGCCATCTCGGCTCACTGCAACCTCCGCTTCCCGGGTTCAAGCGATTCTCTTGCCTCAGCCTCCTGAGTAGCTGGGATTACAGGCGCCCACCACCATGCCTGGCTAAGTTTTTGTATTTTTAGTAGAGACAGGGTTTCACCATGTTGGCCTGGCTGGCCAGGCCAGTCTCGAACTCCTGAACTCAGGTGATCCACCCGCCTGAGCTTCCCAAAGTGCTAGGATTACAGGCATGAGCCACCGCACCAAGGCTACTGATTTATTTTAATTAGGGTGCAGCATGAGCACTGGGATTTTTTTACTCCCCAGGTATTCCCAATATGCAGCCATAATTGAGAACCACTAGTCAATATGGAGTGTGTGTGTGTGTGTGTGTGTGTGTGTGTGTGTGTGTGTGTACATTTCTAGGTATGGGTGATATTTGCATGCAGCACGTATCTGTGCACATAGACACATACACACACGGAAATCTGGACTTCCCAATACACAGAGTAATACATGCTGAGGTCACCAGCAAAGCAGGACAATAAAGAAAGTGAGAAAAAATTTTGAGAGCCAGACACGGTGGCTCATGCCTGTAATCCCAGCTTTCAGGGAGGCAGAGGCAGGAAGATAGCTTGATCCCAGGAGTTCAAGATCTACCTGGGCGATATAGCGAGACCCCGTTCTCCACAAAAAGGAAAAAAAAACAAAGAAAAAGTTTTTAGAACATGATATTTAAGAAACAAAAAAGTCATCATGGAGAAAATAACATTTTTTTTTTTTTTTTGAGACAGAGTCTCACTCTGTTGCCCAGGCTGGAGTGCAGTGACGCGATCTCGGCTCACTGCAACCTCTGCCTCCCGGGTTCAAGTGATTCTCCTGCTTCAGCCTCTCGAGTAGCTGGGATTACAGGCACGTGCCACCATGCCTAGCTAATTTTTGTATTTTCAGTAGATGGGGTTTCACCATGTTGGCTGGGCTGATCTCGAACTGCTGACCTCAAGTGATCTGCCTGCCTCACCCTCCCAAATGTTGGGATTACAGGTGTGAGCCACTGTGCCCGGCTAAAAATCACATTCTTTATTGGGCTTTTTATTTTATTTATTATTTTGTTTATTTTATTTATTTATTTTTTTTGAGACGGAGTCTCACTCTGTCTCCCAGGCTGGAGTCCAATGGCACCGTATCAGCTCACTACAGCCTCTATCTCCTGGGTTCAAGCAATTCTCCTGCCTCAGCCTCCCAAGTAGCTGGGATTACAGGTGCCCACCACCACGCCCGGCTAATTTTTATACTTTTAGTAGAGACGGGGTTTCACTATATTGGCCAGGCTGGTCTTGGACTCCTGACCTCAGGTGATCCACCCGCCTCGGCCTCCCAAAGTGCTGGAATTACAGGCGTGAGACACCATGCCCAGCCTGGGCTTTTTATTTTTTGATATGGTTTTTCTTGCATTACATTTGAGGGGAGGGGCTCCATAATTTTTTCCAGGCGGGGCCCTGATCATCTGGCCCTGCACATCTACAGGAAGGGCTCTTTTTTTTTTTTTTTTTTTTGAGACGGAGTCTCACTCTGTCGCCCAGGCTGGAGTGCAGTGGCGTGATCTCGGCTCACTGCAAGCTCCGCCTCCCGGGTTCAGGCAATTCTCCTGCCTCAGCCTCCCAAGTAGCTGGGATTACAGACACCCGCCCTACACCTGGCTAATTTTTTTTTTTTTTTTTTGTATTTTTGGTAGAGACAGGGTTTCACCATGTTGGTCAGGCTGGTCTTGAACTCTTGACCTCAGGTGATCCACCCCCGCCCCGCCCCCCCAGCCTCCCAAAGTGCTGGGATTACAGGCGTGAGCCACTGTTCCTGGCCTAGGAAGGGCTCTTTGCCTAGAATCTTGCTGCAGGTTTTCTGGCTGCAGCTTCTGAAGGAGGGATGGGGCAACGCGTCGCCTGGTTCCCACAGGTGAAAGGCTTCAGCAGCTGGAGCCCTAGCACTGGACTGCAGTCAGAGGGGTTCAAGAGAGCTGCCGAGATCCCAGTCCTTCAGGAGCTCTAGGCCAGCTGTAGGTGGCCTCAGGTACCTGGGGCTCTGGCTTTGGGGTGAGGTGTGCACATCCACGGCATGTACTATGGGCCTGCCTGAAGCAGAATGAGAGTGGATCAACTTCAAAGTCATTTCCGAATCCAAATTTAATGAATCAAGTATACAAAATGAGGCTGGGCGCAGTGGCTAACACCTGTAATCCCAGCACTTTGGGAGGCCAAGGCAGGTGGATCACCTGAGGTCAGGAGTTCAAGACCAGCCTGGCCAACATGGTGAAACCCCGTCTCCACTAAAAATATAAAAACTAGCTGGGCGCAGTTGTGGACGCCTGTAATTCCAGCTACTCAGGAGGCTGAGGCAGAAGAATTGCTTGAACCCAGGAGATGGAGGTTGCAGTGAGCTGACACAGTGCCACTGCACTCCAGCCTCGGTGACAGAGTGAGACTCTGTCTCAAAAAAAAAAATAGTGAATCAAAAGGAAATACTCGTGGAAGCCCTATGAGGAATTGATTGGTTGGTTTTGATCTGGGCAATCAGGGAAGGCTTCCTGGAGGAGATGAAATTTGAACAGTGCCCTGAAAGATAAGGAAGACTAAAGAGGGAAAGGAGAGAAATAAGCTGGGGCTGCTCTATGTCTATTCTCTTCCACCTTCTCCTCCTTGAACTCAGGCTCTGCCCCAGATCCCTCTGCAGCCTTCAGGGAACAAAGGGCTGTAGGAGTGGCCTGAGGAGCAAGCAGAGGGTCCCTGCCTCTCACTGCCCCACCTGAGTGAAATCAGCCCCACAGCTGGTCCACCTCTGAACCTGTTGGGCCCACCCCTCTGTATGTCACAGCTCCAGGTCATCCAGGGGGAAATGCCCACGGGCCTTTTCCTCAGGGGTCAAGCTCTCAATCTGTAATTGTCTCAGAAAGACCCGGAGAGCTTTAAAATATCCAGAGTCCACGTCCCGCCCCTGCACCTCCAGAGGGAGACCATCCTGGGGCAGGGCCTTGCTCAGTGAAAGCTCCAACAGGGACGCTGATGGGCTTGATGGGCCAAGACTGAGAACCACCAGCCAGGGCTAAAATCAGGGGAGAGAGAGAGGGAGGCAAGAAGGAATGGGGAGGGACGGCTTCCCCAGGGGTAAATGCCCAGAGGCTCGGGGACAAGTGGAAAGTGAGGCCTCGGGGAGCTCCATAGAGAGCAAATGTTCAGAACAGCTGCTCGATTCTGCTCTATTCCCCGGTGTGGAAGACTGGGACCAGGGACAACTGTTCACCACCAAGCAAGGCAGGAAGCCACAAAAGGCCCCCAGAGAGGGCCTCCACTCCCCTCAAGTTGATGCCTCCATGAGGGCAAACACTACGTCATCTGCTCACTGTTCTCCCTGGAGCCTGGCACATAGTAGGTGCTCGATAAATACCCGTTGAATGAAAGGACTGAATGAGCTTTTCCTCTCTTATAACTCTTATGGTTTTCTTTTTCTTTTTTTTTTGAAACGGAGTCTCACTCTGTCGCCAGACTGGAGTGCAGTGGCGCGATCTTGGCTCACTGCAACCTCCGCCTCCCAGGTTCAAGCGATTCTCCTGACTTAGCCTTCCGAGTAGTTGGGACTATAGGTGCACGCCACAATGCCCAGCTAATTTTTTTTTTTTGTACTTTTAGTAGAAATGGGGTTTCACCATGTTGGCCAGGATGGTCTCGATCTCTTGACCTCGTGACCCACCCGCCTCGGCCTCCCAAAGTGCTGGGATTACAGGTGTGAGCCACCGCGCCCGGCCGCCTGGACACTCTTATGGTTTTCTCAGTCTGTGGGTTTCTTATACAAAACAGTGGTGCTGAGAACTTTGAGTAGGGAGGAAGCCAAATGTTTAGTTTGGGTTCCCTCTCTCATCTTCCCTCCAACTCTACTTCCTAAGGATTTTGGAATCTGGATATATGGGCTGGGGGAGCAAGGGTTGTTGTAGCCAGCTGCCCACAGCCGTCCTTCCAAATCAGAAAGCTGGAGAGGGAGGGAGTGGGGTGGGGAGAGAAGCAAGCAGAGAAGGGAGGAGTGTGCAGGAGCACACAGTGGCTGAAAGGTACATGATCTGCCCAGAGAGCAAGCGGTAGGCTGGGGAAGCCACCTGCACGGTTACCGCATTCCCAGGAATCTTCTCTCCAGAGCCTTGGTGGAGAGGCCCAAGGCACTGCCCTTCTGTGTACTACACCCAGGCAGGACCCTAGATACATCCACTCAGGCCTGGAAATGCTTCCCCCAGAGAAGGCAGGAGGATAGGGCCGTGCTGGTGTCAGCCTCAGGGGCCTGACATTCCCACCTGATCTCCAGTCTCCAGCCCAGCCCTGCCCCTCCCACCTCCCACACACACCAGCAACCACTCAGGCCAAACACTCGTGGTGCCCCAGGGGATGGGGACAACTCCAGATGAGAGAGCGGCCCTTCCAGCTGCACACCTCAAGGAAAGCTAGTGTGGAGAAGGACTTGAGCTGATAGCCTCTTGGCCCCAGGCCCTCTCCCAGGGAGGGGCAGGGTGCCAGTCGGGAGGGCTGGCTGGATGAGGATTGCACGCTGCCCTGAAACGTGGCCAGGGCCATCATGACATGGTCACAGACTGTTGGAGTTGGAAAGGCCTCTCATTTCACTGGCAGAGAAACTGAGGCCCCAGGAGACTTGGCCAAGGCCTCACAGGTGGTGAATACAAAATTGGGACTCACACCCTGCTGCCTAACTGGAAAGGAGAAGATCTCCTGGGCCAGCCCACCTTACAGCCTTTCACTGGGAGCCCTGGGGAGAGCCAGTTTCCTGGCCTGGCAAATCTGTTGCTAGAGCAGTTTTCTGGAAAACCACATGAATCTATCGCAGGCCTTCCTGTGCCCCCACCTAGTCTGATCACTTAGGGCTGGCTCTTAGCTCTTCCAGGCCTCCTTCAAGGTCTCTCAGCATCAAAATCACTGGGCTGTTTGATTAAAATGCAGATTCCTGAACCCAGCCTACCATTCCAAATCCAAATCTCTGAAGACGGAGCCAGGAATCTACCTTTTTATCCAATACCCTCTCCTCTAACCCTCTCTACAACTACCCTCAGCCAGCTTCCCAGACTTATCTGGTGTCCTGTTTAAAATGTAGGTCCCAGGCTGGGCACAGTGGCTCATGCCTGTAATCCCAGCACTTTGGGAGGCCGAGGCAGGCGGATCACTTGAGGTCAGGAGTTTGAGACCAGCTTGACCAACAATGTAAAACTCCATTTCTACTAAAAATACAAAACTTAGCCGAGCGTGGTGGCGTGCACCGGTAGTCCCAGCTACTCAGGAGGCTGAAGCAGGAAAATCGCTTGAACCCGGGAGGCAGAGGTTGCAGTGAGCCGAGATCGTGACACTGCACTCCAGCCCGGGCAACAGAGCAAGACTCCATCTCAAAAAAAAAAGAAAAGAAAAAAAAAAGTAGGCCCCAGACCACTCCTCCAGGGTCTGCCTCAGTATAGCTGAGGTCAGGCCTGGGAGTCTATTTTTGCAAGCATCCTTGCCAACTCTTGGGGAAATGCTGTTTCCCCCTTTGCTTTGAGGTTCCTAATGAGAATTCTAGGAGGGTCCACAGATGGCCTGGGTAGTAGTAGCTCAAGATTGTGTGGAGGAAGATTTTCCTAGGATGGGGGCCCCAACTCTTATAAATTCCTGGAAGAGGTCCCTGACCCCAGATAGGAGTGTCACAAGGAGCCTGGATCCTAGAGTGATGTTTGGAGAGGAGGGAACCTGGAGTGGGGTGTCCTTTTGGATCAGACATGGCTGGAAGCCTGAGTTCTAATCTCCCTTAGCCAGTGCCAACACCCCAGTCCTGCCTGAAGGCTGAGCCCAAATCTGGACAGTGTATCCAGACAGTGTATCCAGTTCAACCACCCTACCCTATCTCCACCAGCCCATGCCTCCTCCTCCTCTTCCTCTTTCTTTCTCCTATAACCTCCCCCGTCCTTCACTGCCCGTCCCCTCCCCACCCTCATCAGCTTCCTCCATCAGCAGCCATGTAAGGGGTAGGCCGTGCACAGGCCCGCCACTGCTCTCCTGGAGGGGAATTTCAGAGGCAAACCCGTGACTGCGTCGTCATCACGCTGAGCTTAGGTCTGGGGTGGCCCGGGGAGAGGAGCTTGTGTAAGTTGTGTGGGTGGAGGTGGGAGGGAGGCAGGGCTCTGATGTCAGAGGCTCCGACTCAACAAGCAGGTCAGCCCTTTCCTGCTAGGAGCCAGCCTCAGCCCCTCAGCTCACCCTCACCCCTCTAGCAGCCACACCTCCTGTGGATGTGTAGACAGGACACATGGAAGGAAAGCAAACTGTCACTCTCCACTGAGTAGCACTGGACAGTGCTACTGGTGTCTCCACCCCAATAAGAGATAGATGGCCAGGTGATAATGATGCCCGGTCTTAGTTCATTTGGGCTGCTATAATAAAATACCATAAAATGGTATTTTATAAAATGGCTGGCTTATAAACAACAGAAATAGATTTCTCATGGTTCTGGGAAGTCCACAGTCAACGTGTCGGCAGATTCAGTGTCTGGTAATGATCAGCTTCCTCTGAAGCCATCTGTTTTTTGTTTTTTGTTTTGTTTTTTTTTTTTTTTGAAACGAGGTCTCACTCTGTTGCTCAGGCTGGAGTACAATGGCACAATCATGGTTCACTGTAGCCTCGACCTCCCAGGCTTAAACAATCCTCCTTCCTCAGCCTCCTGAGTAGCTGGGACTAGGGGCACATGCTGCCACAGCTAGTTTTTTGTTTTGTTTTGTTTTGTTTTATCTATTTTTTTGTAGAGACGAGCTCTCCCTATGTTGCCCAGGGTGGTCTCAAACTCCTGGCCTCAAGTGATCCTCCCGCCTCTGCCTCCCAAATTTGCTGGGATTACAGGCATGAGCCAACATGCCTGGCCTAAAGCCATCCCGTCTTTATTTATTTATTTATTTATTTATTTATTGAGACAGAGTCTTGCTCTGTCGTCCAGGCTGGAGTACAATGGCACGATCTTGGTTCAAGATCAGATTCCTTGCCTGGGCACGGTGGCTCACGCCTGGAGTCCCAGCACTTTGGGAGGCCGAGGCAGGAGAATTGCTTGAGGCCAGGAGTTTGAAACCAGCCTGGGCAACAGAGCAAGACTCTGTCTCTAAAAAAAAAAAAAAAAAAAAAAAAAAAACCGGGTGTGGTGGCTCATGCCTGTAATCCCAGCACTTTGGGAGGCTTAGGTGGGCGGATCACGAGGTCAGGAGATCGAGACCATCCTGGCTAACACGGTGAAACCCCATCTCTACTAAAAATACAAAAAATTAGCCAGGTGTGGTGGCGGCGCCTGTAGTCCCAGCTACTCAGGAGGCTGAGGCAGAAGAATGGCGTGAACCCACGAGGCGGAGCTTGGAGTGAGCCGAGATCACGCCACTGCACTCTAGCCTGGGCGACAGAGCGAGACTCCATCTCAAAACAAAACAAAACAAAATAAAACAAAAAAAAAAATTAGCTGGCAGTCTTGCTTCGAGCCTGTGGTTCCAGACACTCAGGAGGCTGAGGTGGGAGGATCACCTGAGCCCAGGAGGTCGAGGCTGCAGTGAGCCATGATTGCACCACTGTACACCAACCTGGGAATAAAAGCAAGACCCTGTCTCAAACAAAACAAAACAAAACAAAACAACAAAGAAGTTCACATTCCAGATCATGACCTTGGGCAAGTTGCTCTTTGTGTCTCAGCACCCTCATCTGTAAAATAGGGAAATAACCCCAACCTCACAGGGCTGTCGTGAAGATTAAGTGAGTACTTGGCACCTAGTCAGTGTATATAAGTGTTGAGTGGTTATTATAATTTGTGGTATTTCTAGGACAGAAATCTGCTTAGAAGAGGAGATGGTCTTCCTTTTCTGAGATGGCGTTTCACTCTTGTCACCCAGACTGGAGTGCAATGGTGCAATCTTGGCTCACTGCAACCTCCGCGTCCCAGGTTCAAGCGATTCTCCTGCCTTGGCCTCCCAAGTAGCTGGGATTACAGGCATGTGCCACCACACCTGGCTAATTTTTTGTATTTAGTAGAGGAGGGGTTTAACCACGTTGGTCAAGCTGACCTCAGGTGATCCAATGCCTCAGCCTCCCAAAGTGCTGGGATTACAGGCATGAGCCACCACGTCAGGCCCAGGTTAGGCATTCTTAGTGACAGGATGAGACAGGAGGTCAGAACAAGAAACAGTTCACAAAGACCCTCCTGATAAAACACGATGTGGCAAAGAAGCTGGCTAAAACTCACCAAAACCAAGATGGTGACCAAAGTGACCTCTGGCCATCCTCACTGCTCATTATACACTAATTATAATGTATTAGTATGCTAAAAGACACTTCCACCAGCCCCGTAACAGTTTACAAATGCCATGGCAGCGTCAGGTCAGGAAGTTACCCTATATGGTCTAAACAGGGGAGGGACCCTTAGTCCCAGGAAATCCCCACTCATGAATTATTCACCCCTTATTTAGCATATAATCAAGAAATCGAGATGATCTTCTTAATGCCTCTCAAATTATTTCCAAAAGTGCCTGTCTGTGTGGAAGTTCCCTTCACAGGCCAGGGCTAGTCGGGCAGCACAAGGGGCCAAGGCCCATGCCTGGGGTCAGGCAGGCCCAGCCAGGTTGCTTGCCCTTTACCCATGCCTCTGCCTGGCCCTCCCATAGAGGGGCAGGGCAACCCAGGCCAACCTAGTGGCAGTATGAGCTGAGTGACTGTGGCCACCTGTGGAAACTGGTTTTGCAGCACCAGCCCCTCTCTTCTGTGTCCTTTCTTGCATCTTTTTTTTTTTTTTAAGAAGGAGTTTTGCTCTTGTTGCCCAGGCTGGTGTGCAATGACGTGATCTCAGCTCATTGCAACCTCCGCCTCCCGGGTTCAAGCGATTCTCCTGCCTCAGCCTCCTGAGTAGCTGGGATTACAGGTATGTGCCACCACGCCCGCCTAATTTTTTGTATTTAGTAGAGACGGGGTTTCACCGTGTTGGTCAGGCTGGTCTCAAACTCCTGACCTCAAGTGATCTACCTGCCTCAGCCTCCCAAAGTGCTGGGATTACAGGCATGAGCCAACGCGCCCAGCCTTATTTGTGCTGCCCCAATTTCTAGGAATTTATACACTCTGGGGACCAACCTCATCATGGGAATAAGAATTCAATTCTTCACGAAAATCATTTCCTCCACTGACACACTTTGTACAGACATAGGAATCTGACACACCTGGGTTTGCATCTGGAGTCTACCATTTACTGGCGAAGTAATATTGAACAAACTTTGGCTCTAGGAGCCTCAGTTTCTCCACCCGTAAAGTAGAAAACGTCATCTGTGCTTGCAGGCTTGTTGAGAAGATTAAATTAATCCAGCCATTTATTCCACAAATCCTTATTGAGTGCCTAACTGCACCTCACATTGAGGATACAGATATGATAACATGATAGACACAGAGGTGAGTCCACTTGCAAGGCACTCAGAGAGATATGGACCAACAGTGACCCCCAAATCCATGTTACTGATTGTGTTGAGGGACACAGAGGAAAAGTACTCAGGAGTAGTGGTGTGAGCTCAGTTTTGAAGGATAACTGGGTGCAATCTATTTCATCGAATCTAAGACTCTATTGATCATCCACACTATTATTTTAGATAACACTGAGACAAAAATTCAGCCAATTAACCTTAGAAATGTTATTTTGTGCTTACTGAAAGAGCTCTTTTGACCTTCTGCAGCCCCAGAGGAGTTTTCTCTCTCCCACCTAATTTAAAACAAAGAAGGATGTGTAGTGGCAGAGATCAGAATAGGGTAGAATCCAAGAGAAATCTACCTTGCCCTGCAGCAAGCTTTGCTGGGTATAAAATTCCTGAGTTTGTGGTTGGTAGGCTCCTGGGCTCTGACTCAGTGGAAAGAAGAGGTAGGACAAAGGGGTTATGTGGACCGGCCTGGGGAGAAGTGTGGGGAAGGGGTCCTGGCTGAGCAGTCACTACTGGGCTCAGTTTTTGGGGTGGCCAGAAGGAGAAGAGGCAAATGCCAAGCTGGGGGATTGTAAGACATCATCTCTAAAATGCATCCTGTGGTCAGAAATGTAAAGGGTGCATCTTCCCCAGGAGCAGGGAGCACCCTAGCTCCCAAATCTTGGTTTCCAAATGCCATTCTCCACTAAAAGGAACTAGGGGACTTTGGAGAATAGCTAATTCCCTGAGGTTGGCTCAGGGAAAATACAAGTGATCCTGGAACATCTTGTGCCAGAAAGTGAGAAGGTGCTAAAATAAAATAAAATAAAATAATAAAGCCAGGTACAGGGGTGCGTGCCTGTAGTCCCAGCTATTCAGGAGGCTGAGACAGAAAGATTGCTGAGGTCAGGAGTTCGAGGCTGTAGTGCACTATGATCACACCTGTGAATAGCCACTGCACTCTAGCCTGGGCAACATAGTGAGACCTTATCTCTAAAAAATATATAAATAAAAAATAAAATTAAATAGGCAGGTGTAGCAATGTGTGCCTGTAATCCCAGCACTTCAGGAGGCTGAGGCGGGCAGATCGCTTAAGCCCAGGAGTTTGAGACCATCCTGAATAACAGGGCAAAACCCTGTCTCTACAAAAAAATACAAAAATTAGCTGGGCCTGATGGTGCACACCTGTAGTCCCAGCTACTTAGAAGCCTGAGGTGGGAAATTCAGGCTTACGGAAGCCTCAACCTCCTGGGTTCAAGTGATCCTCCCACCTCAGCCTCCCAAGAAGCTGGAACTACAGGTGTGCACCACCACACTTGGCTTGTGTGTGTGTGTGTGTGTGTGTGTGTGTGTAGAGATAGGGTCTCACTATATTGTCCAGGCTGGTCTTGAACTCCTAGGCTCGAACAATCCTTCCGCCTCAGCCTCCCAAAGTGCTGAGATTACAGGTGTTTTCCACTGTGCCCAATATTTTTCTTCTTTTGCTGTAAAGGATATTAGCAGGATGGTTGGAGATGGTTGAATAAGGTCTGTACATCAGACAATAGAACTGTATGTAGCCATGCTAATTTTCTGATTTCAATAAATGTACTGTGGTTATTATATAAAAGAATGTCCTTGTTTTGAAGAAGAATGTATCAAAGTATTTAGGGATAAAGGTACACTTATCTGTCACCTACTCTCAAGCAGTTCAGAAAAAAAAAAAAAAAGGAAAGAAAAAGAGGCCAGGTGAGGTGGCTCACTCCTGTAATCCCAGAACTTTGGGAGGCTGAGGTGGGCAGATCACCTGAGGTCAGGAGTTCGAGACCAGCCTGGTCAACATGGTGAAACCTCGTCTCTACTAAAAATACAAAAATTAGCCAGGCGTGGTGATGTGCGCCTATAGTCCCAGCTACTGGGGAGGCTGAGGCAGGAGAATCACTTGAACCTGGTAGGTGGATGTTGCAGTGAGCTGAGATCACACCACTGCACTCCAACCTGGGAGACAGAGCGAGACTCCACCTCAGACAAAAAAATAAAAAGAATGAGTGAACACACACACACACTGTACATATAAAGAGGGAATTTGAGCTGGGTGCGGTGGCTCACACCTGTAATCCCAGCACTTTGGGAAGCCGAGGCAGGCGGATCAAGAGGTCAAGAAATCGAGACCATTCTGGCCAACATGGTGAAACCCCCTCTCTACTAAAAATACAAAAAAAAAAAAAATTAGCTGGGTGTGGTGGTACATGCCTGTAGTCCCAGCTACTCGGGAGGCTGAGGCAGGAGAATCGCTTGAACCTGGGAGATGGAGGTTGCAGTGAGCCGAGATCACGCCACCGCACTCCAGCCTGGCGACAGAGCAAGACTCCGTCTCAAAAAAAAAAAAAAAAAAGAGACAGAGGGAATTTGATTTTAAAAAGGTTTTAAAAAGATAAAAGAGAGAGATTGATAAAATGGTGGTATGCTGAAAATGTTTAACAACCAACTCTCTCAGGGCAAAAAAGCCCTGATACCAATTTCTGTGGTGTAAATACTCTCTGTGGCCAATTTAAAGCTGGCGCCATGAAGTCACTGAAGAGGGAGTTGGGAAGGAGATGCACAGAGATAGCTCTAGTGTTCATCACACCAGTACAAATGCAAACACGGTAGAAAGCTAACATTTGGGGAATCAGAGTAAAACAGAATATGAAGATTATTTGTACTATTTTTTGCAACTTTTATTCAGTCTGAACTTATTTCAAATAAAAAGTTAGGGTTTTTTTCTATGGCACATCTTGTAACTGATGAGATGCAGTAAATGAACTGGGGAAAGAGTACGTGAGCATTTCAGGTAGAGGCACCTGCCTTGACTGTGCAGAAGGCTGAGGCTGAAAGAAGCAATTCATTTGAAAAACAACAACACAAACAAAGCAGTCTGAGTGACTGGGAGCAGAGCAGCTTGGAACAGAGAAGTGCAAAGTGAGCAGAGAGGTGGGCTGGGGCCAGGACAGAGGCTCTGTAAGCCACAGCTGAGGGTTTGGGTCCCTCAGGGAGAAGCCATCAGAGTGCTTTAAGCAGTGGGTGGAGGGAATGTGGCCTTATTTGCGTTATCGCTCTGGCCCCTGGCTGACTCTCAATCAACAGTGGCCACTAATACTGCCTTTTCTGGTCTACTCTCTGCTGTCGCTTTCCCCAGGGTCCCTTTGCTCAACTGGTGTTAACAGGGGGCGGGGGTGGGGTGGGGGCCATGGCCACAGGCCACCAGGTGAGTCCAGAGCTTCCAGCACAGCCTCATTTTCTGTCCTCCCCACCCGCACCCCCTCAGACGTATTCGTAAGCCACAAAATAAGTGTGAGGAAGTCCAAGTTTGACATCCACCCAGGACTCTGCCCTCCCTGCTTAACTCAGCCCTGATCAGCCCTAAGCTGGTATGCCCTGGACTATTAAGCAAGCCCACTAACGTTTTGGAGAGGGGACTTGACTCTGCAGCCCTCCCCTCTGCACACCAGAGACCCACAGACCCACCCCCTCCTCCATCAGCTTCCTCCTACCCCTCTTGGTTTCTAGTCAAACCTCTCACTCTGGGAGTCCCAGAGCCCAGTGGGGCCTTGAGAGGGTTGAGTTCAAGGTGGAATGAATGGGCTGTTTGAGAGAGCTCTCCCAGGGCAATCTCCAGGCCTGGTACAGCTTGAGAGGCTACCGGCTTCCTTTTTCCCAGATGAATCCCTGTTCTGTATGCCTGTAACTATGTGCCCACCCCTAACATGCCCTGGGGCCCCGCATAACAGAAGTGGACTGGATATGTACACACAGCATGCTGGCCAGCTCCTCCTATGCAGAGAGCATGAACCCAGCCCAAAGTCACGAGCATTAACCGCATGCCACGTATTCCACTGGACATTATGATGCATTCTTTATCCAGCCTACTGTTAGAACAGCTCTGTGAGTGGACACAGTATTAGGTCCATATTGCAACTGAGGCTTGAAAGTTTTCTTGGAGTATCCAAGTTCGCATAGCTGATGCAGAGATTCAACTCAGGCCCTTTGACCGCCAAAGCCTGCATTTCTGCCCACAATACCACCCTGCCTCTGTCTGGCACAAGTTGCCCCTGTGCCATTGTCTCTCAGCCTGGGCATCAGTGCTGTGGGCATCCAGGCCATGTGGACAGGTGTACTGAGGGCCCTGTGCACCAGGAAGGGGTTAATTGGGATGCCCTCAGCAAGCTCTAGTTTGGCAACTGTTGCTATGGCAACAGCATGGTTTGGGGAAGAGGGAGGCCAGCACAGTAGGATCTTCTGAATCACTGGATGTACAGCCTATATGTTTATTCTGCAGCGAAACCCTCCCTGCATCTTCTGGGACTATATGTGGCCACTAGGGATGGCTGCGGCAGGCAGGGGTGAGGGCAGGGGTTCCCTGAGCAGGCAGAAGCTGGGAGGCCTTGGCACTGCTAAGGCCTCTCACCCAGGGGCTCTCACCAGCACAGCCCAGGGAGACTTTTCCACCAGGAAGGCCCAGGGATTCTGCTTTCAGCTGCAGCTCCCCAGACTAGGTGAAAACCAGGAAAGGGCAAAGATTTGGGGCCAAACGGAATCAAGCAATCATTCACTATTCACTGACTTACTCATTCACCAGATATGTATTGCTTGCTGACAATGCACTGATGGCTGTGCTGGGGGCTGTGGCCTGGGGTTATAGCTGGGAGCCAGACAGACTCTGCATCCGTGGAGATTCCCTTCCAGGGGGCCAGAAGTCCCCACCATATGCCCCACCTTGGGCAAGTCCCTCTCCTTTGCTGAGTTCATCTGTAAAATGGGGCCCACACTCCCCACTTTGCAGGGATGCAGCCTGGATGAGGTAACAGATTTGCGAACGCCCAACACATAGTGGACCAAATATGCAGACAGGACAAAAATGCCTGTAGGCCTCTCACCTCTCCCTCCAGCAACAGAAGGTGCCAGACAATGATAAAACTCATGAGTGAGGAGCCCCAGGCTCTGGACCCTGGAGGCTTACTGTGAGCAAAATCTCCAGACCGAGCCAGACAGACAGATCCAGCTCTTCCATCACTGGGCATGGGCCCTGGCTTCAGTTTGCCTATTTGTAATGCGGGTGATCCTCCTGTCCTTATAGACAGTAATGTACCTGAGCTGATGGGCAGCATCCAAGTGGGTTCTTGACCATTCTGTTCCACCATCTGAGCCACCCACAGGTCAGAAGAGCCCAAGGCCACCAGATAATAAGACCCCAGTACTGGCCTTCCCGTCCAAGCCAACTTGTTTTTTGCCTACAACATGGACCGCAGTAGCTGTCTGTTGATTTGATTCAAGTTTGATAGCCACCCAGGACTCTGCCCTCCCTGCTCAGCTCAGCCCTGATCAGCCCTAAGCTGGTATACCCTGGACTATTCAGCAAGCCCACTAACCTTGGTGAGAGGGGACTTGACTCTGCGACCCTCCCCTCTGCACGCCAGGCCAGTTTCCATGAAAGGACCCCCTGGGGTCCTCAAGCTCAGCCCTAGAACCACCCTCCTCACGTCCAGCACCAGGGCAGGCCTGGTGGAGGCAGGAAGGCCAGCTGGGGGTGAGGGCTGATCACAGATAAGAGCAACATGCAAACAAAACCCACAGGAAGGAAGCCAGCGAAGGAGAAAATCATTTAAGAATTTCATATTGGCTGGGTACGGTGGCTCACGCCTGTAATCCCAGCACTTTGGGAGGCCGAGGTGGGCAGATCACAAGGTCAGGAGATGGAGATCATCCTGGCTAACATAGTGAAACCCCGTCTCTACTAAAAATACAAAAAATTAGCCGGGCGTAGTGGCGGGCGCCTGTAGTCCCAGCTACTCGGGAGGCTGAGGCAGGAGAATGGAGTGAACCCGGGAGGCGGAGCTTGCAGTGAGCTGAGATCTCGCCACTGCACTCCAGCCTGGGCGACAGAGCCAGACTCCGCCTCAAAAAAAAAAAAAAAAAAACAATTTCATATTGAGGTCGGGTGCGGTGGCTCACGCCTGTAATCGCAGCACTTTGGGAGGCCGAGGCGGGCGGATCACGAGGTCAGGAGATCGAGACCATCCTGGCTAACACGGTGAAACCCCGTCTCTAAAAAAAAAAATACAAAAATTAGCCGGGCGTGGTGGCGGGCGCCTGTAGTCCCAGCTACTCAGGAGACTGAGGCAGGAGAATGGTGTGAACCCGGGAGGCAGAGCTTGCTATGAGCCGAGATCGCGCCACTGCACTCCAGCCTGGGCAACAGAGCAAGACTCCATCTCAAAAAAAGAAAACCAAGAATTTCATATTTGATATTTCAAAAAATAAACAACTTCAAAGCTGTCATCATGGGAAAATTCAAAATGTTGAAGGGCTTCCTCACACTTATTTTGTGGCTTAATATTGATTTCATTTTGTACTATTCATGGGGGTGGAGATGCCCTAATCTTTTCAGAGCTAACTGCCTTTAAAAGTCTTAATCAAGACCTGGGAAATGGAAGTGGGGCGCACAGTTGGTGGGCCCCCCTCAAGTCTGTTCTGTGTGACAGCTTCATCCCTGGAGGGCGAGGAGGGAAGATGTTTTTCGTCTTGCCGCTGTCTGACACCAAAGGAGGCAAGATTAAGCTTGGTTGGAGGTGGTGCTAATGAGTTACTCAGGATTTTCTTCTTCTCTCACCAATCTTGAATTTCCATCTCCCCAGTTGGGTGTCAGGGTACATATTTATACCAGGACAGGGCTTACAGTGGCTGTCATTTGTTTATGAAATTCTTTCCAGAAGGACAGTGGGCCACAGGAAGGTAGGGTAGAGAGCTGCAGGGAGGGCAGAGGAGCCACAGAGATCCAGGAGCTTCCAGCCAGGCCAGCCCCTAAACTGGAAAATTGTTAACATAGGATTCAGCCAATCCAGAGGAGAAAAGGACAGGCAGACCTAGCAAACACATTCCCCTGAGGGGAAGTCACAACACCTGGGCAGCAGAAGAATGTCCGTGAGGAGAGAAGGAAAGGGAGTCCTGAAGGAATATAAGCTTTTCTTTTCTTTTTTCTTTTCTCTTCCCTTCTCTTCTTTTCTTTTCTTTTATTTCTTTTATTTTATTTATTTATTTTTTTTTTGAGACGGAGTCTCTCTCTGTCGCCCAGGCTGGAGTGCAGTGGCACAATCTCGGCTCACTGCAAGCTCCGCCTCCCGGATTCAGGCCATTCTCCTGCCTCAGCCTCCCGAGTAGCTGGGACTACAGGCGCCCGCCACCATGCCCAGCTAATTTTTTTGTATTTTTAGTAGAGACGGGGTTTCACTGTGTTAGCCAGGATGGTCTTGATCTCCTGACCTCGTGATCCGCCCGCCTCTGCCTCCCAAAGTGCTGGGATTACAGGTGTGAGCCACCGCGCCCGGCCTTTCTTTTATTTTTTAATTGAATTTATTTTATTTTTGAGACAGGGTCTCTCTCTGTCACCCAGGCTGGAATGCAGTGACACAATCTCTGCTCACTGCAACCTCTGCCTCCTGGGCTCAAGCCATCCTCCCACCTCAGCCTCCCAGGTAGCTGGGACTATAGGCATACAGCACCATGCCCGGCTAATGTTTGTATTTCTTGTAGAGGCGGGGCTTTGCCATGTTGCTCAGGCTAGCGTCAAACTCCTGGCTTCAAGCGATCCACCCATTTCGGCCTCCCAAAGTGCTGGGATTACAGGCATGAGCCACTGTGCCTGACCTCTTTTTTTTTTTTTTTTTTTTTTTTTTTTGAGACGGAGTTTCACTCTTGTTGCCCAGACTGCAGTGGAACAGCATGATCTTGGCTCACCACAACCTCCGCCTCCTGGATTTAAGCGATTCTCCTGCCTCAGCCTCCCGAGTAGCTGGGATTACAGGCACGCACCACCATGCCCAGCTAATTTTGTATTTTTAGTACAGATGGGGTTTCTCCGTGTTGGTCAGGTGAGTCTTGAACTCCCGACCTCAGGTGATCTGCCCGCCTTGGCCTCCCAAAGTATTGGGATTACAGGCGTGAGCCACTGTGCCCAGCCCAGCCTCTTTTTTTTTTTTTTTTAATGGACTTCATCTTTTAGAGCAATCTGGCAAAATTAAGAAGAAAGTACATGGATTTCCTATATACCCCCTGTCCCCACACGTGCATCGCCTCCACCATGCCATTATCAACATCCCTGACCAGAGGGGTGCATTTGTTATGATTTGTGAACCTACACGGATGCATCATCATCAGTGAGGTCCATAGTTTACATTGGGGTTCACTCTTGGTGTAGTACATTGTATGTGTTTGGACAAATGTACAATGGCTTGTATCCATCATCATAGTATCCTACAGAATAGTTTCATTGCTCTAACTGATCTTTTTGCTGTCTCCATAGTTTTGCCTTTTCCAGAATGTCATATAGTTGGAATCATTCAGTAGGTAGCCTTTTAAGATTGGCTTCTTTGGCCTGGCCAGGCTCGGTGGCTCATGCTTGTAATCCCAGCACTTTGGGAGGCCGAGGCGGGCAGATCACAAGGTCAGGAGTTCGAGACCAGCCTGGCCAACACTGTGAAACCCTGTCTCTACTAAAAACACAAAAATTAGCCGGGCGTGGTGGCGGGCGCTTGTAATCCCAGCTACTAGGGAGGCTGAGGCAGGAGAATCGCTTGAACCTGGGAGGTGGAGGTTGCAGTGAGCCGAGATCATGCCACTGCACTCCAGCCTGGGCAACAGAGCTACACTCCATCTCAAAAAAGAGATTGGCCTCTTTCACTTAATAATATGCTTCTTTCTTTCTCTCTTTCTTTCTCTTTTTTCTTTCTTTCTCACTCTCTTCCTCTTCTCCTTTCTCTCTCTTTCTCTCTCTTCCTCTCCTCCTCTCTTTCTCTCTCCATTCTTTCCTTCCCTCCCTCCATCCCTCCTTTCTCTCTCTCCCTTCCTTCCTCTCTCTCTCTTTCTTTTCTTTTCTTTCTCTTTCTTTTTCTCTTTCTCTCTCTCTTTCTTTTCTTTCTCTTTCTTTCTTCTCTGTCACCCAGGGTGAAGTACAGTGGCACAATCATATACAGCCTAGAATTCCTGGGCTCTAGCAATCCTCCTGCCTTGGCCTCCCAAAGTGCTGGAATTACAGGTGTGAGACATCATGCCCAGACTAGCAATATGCTTTTAAGATTTCTCCATGTTTTTTCATAACTTGGTAGTGAAATTCTTTTTGGCCCCAAATAATATCCTATTGTCTGGATGTCCCACAGTTCATTCACTCATTCACCTACTGAAGGATATCTTGGTTGCATCCAAGTTTTGTCAATTATTAATAAAGCTGCTATAAGCATTCGTGTGCTGGTTTTTGTGTGAACTTAAGTTTATTTGAGTAACTACCAAGGAGCATGATTGCCAGATCATATAGTAAAAGTATGTTTAGTTTTGTAAGAAATTGCTGAACCTAGCCGGGCGCAATGGTTCACACCTGTAATCCCAGCACTTTGGGAGGCCAAGGCGGGTGGATCACCTGAGGTTGGGAGTTCAAGACCAGCCTAACCAACATGGAGAAACCCTGTCTCAGCTAAAAATACAAAATTAGCCGGGGTGGTGGTGCATGCCTGTAATCCCAGCTACTCGGGAGGCTGAGGCAGGAGAACTGCTTGAACCCGGGAGGTGGAGGTTGCGGTGAGCCAAGATCATGCCATTGCACTCTAGCCTGGGCAACAACAGCAAAACTCCATCTCAAAAAAAAAAAAAAAAAGAAAGAAAGAAATTGCCGAACTTGAGGCTGGGTGTGGTGGCTCACACCTGTAATCCCAGCACTTTGGGAGGCTGAGGTGGGTGGATCACTTGAGGTCAGGAATTTGAGACCAGCCTGGCCAATATAGTGAAACCCCACCTCTACTAAAAATACAAAAATTAGCCAGGTGCTGTGGTGCGTGCCTGTAATCCCAGCTACTAGGGAGGCTGAGGCAGGAGAATCACTTGAACCCAGGAGATGGAGGTTGCAGTGGGCTGAGATCGTGCCACTGCACTCCAACCTGGGCAACAGAGTGAGACCCTGTCTCAAGAAAAAAAGAGAAAGGAATTGCCACACTGTCTTCAAATGTACCATTTTGCATTCCCACTGCAATGAGTGAGAGTTCCTGTTGCTCCACATCTTCACCAGCATTTGGTGCTGTCAGTGTCCTGGATTGTGGATATTCTAACAGATGTGTGGTAGAATCCCAGTGTTGTTTTAATTTGCACTTCCCTAAAGATATATGACGTTGCTGGGTGTGGTGGCTCACACCTGTAATCCCAGCACTTCGGGAGGCCAAGGCGGGCGGATCACCAGAGGTCAGGAGTTCAAGACCAGCCTGGCCAAGATGGTAAAACCCTGTCTCTACAAAAAATTAGCCAGGCATGATGGCGGGTGCCTGTAATTCCAGCTACTTACAAGGCCGAGGCAGGAGAATCGCTTGAACCCAGGAGGCAGAGGTTGCAGTGAGCCAAGATCGTGCCATTGCACTCCAACCTGGGTGAGAGAGCAAAACTCCATCTAAAAAAAAAAAAAAAAAAGATATATGATGTTGAACATCTTTTCATATGCTTACTTGCTATCTATATATCTCCTTTAGTAAGGTATCTTCTTTGGGTCTTTTGCTCATTTTTTAAATCTGGTTGTTTGTTTTCTTATTGTTAAGTTTTAAGAGTTCATTGTGTGTATATATAATTTTATTTTTTTTTTGAGCCAGGGTGTCACTGTCACCCAGGCTCGAGTGCAGTAGTAAAACCCTGGCTCACTGCAGCCTCGACCTCCCCCGCTCAAGTGATCCTCCTGTCTCAGCTTTCAAGTAGCTGGTACTACAGGCCAGCGCCACCATACCCAGCTAATTTTTAAAATTTTTTGTAGACAAAGGGTCTCACTGTTACCCAGGCTGGTCTCCAACTCCTGGGCTCAAGCAATCCTCCCGCCTCAGCCTTCCAAAGTGCTGAGATTACAGGTGTGAGCTACTGCATCTGGCCCAAGTTCTGTGTCTATCTCGGATGACAGTCCTTTATCAAATATGTCTTTTGAATATTTTCTCTCAGTCTGTGACTCCCCTTTTTATTTGAGTGGATGGTTCCAGTCCCTGATTGAGCCAGACTATTATACAGAGTCCAGCCATTTCTACTTAACTCAGGACTCCTCCTGTTGGGCCAGCAGAGACCTTGTCAGATCTGCACCATGGTCTGATTGCTCCCCTACCCAATCCGGCATCCTCCCTGTTCATGTCATAGGGGCCACTCCCCACTGAGCCCTATGCACTCCTAACTCCATCTCAGTGCCAGCTTCAGACCTAAGGGACCTAGTGCTGGGGAGGAACTAAGTCGGAGTGATAGGATGGACATGGATTGGGGGTGCCACTTTATTTATTTTATTTTATTTATTTATTTTTATTTTTTGAGACTGAGTCTCGCTGTTGTCGGCCCCGGCTGGAGTACAATGGTGCAATCTCAGCTCACTGAAACCTCCACCTCCCGGGTTCCAGCAATTCTCCTGCCTCAGCCTCCCTAGTAGCTGAGATTACAGGTGCCCGCCACCATGCCCGGCTAATTTTTGTACTTTTAGTAGAGACGGAGTTTCACCATGTTGGCCAGGCTGGTCTTGAACTCCTGACCTTAGGTGATCCACTCACCTCAGCCTCCCAAAGTGCTAAGATTATGGGCGTGAGCCACTGCACCCGGCCTATTTATTTATTTATTTATTTGCTTTTATTATTTTATTTATTTATTTATTTATTTATTTATTTTTGAGACAGAGTCTCCCTCTGTAGCCCAGGCTGGAGTGCAGTGGCGCGATCTTGGCTCACTGCAACCTCCGCGTCCCGGGTCCCGGTTCAAGCAATTCTCCTGCCTCAGCTTCCCTAGTAGCTGGGATTACAGTCACGCACCACCATGCCCAGCTAATTTTTGTATTTTTAGTAGAGGCAGGTTTTCACCATGTTGGCCAGGCTGGTCTTGAACTCCTGACCTCATGATCTGCCTGCCTCGGCCTCCCAAAGTACTGGGATTAAAGGCGTGAACCACCGCGCCCGGCCTATTTATTATTATTATTATTATTATTATTATTATTATTATTATTATTATTTGAGATTGAGTCTTGCTCTGTCGCCCAGGCTAGAGTGCAGTGGTGAAATCTTGGCTTACTGCAAACTCCACCTCGTGGGTTCAAATGTTTTTCCTGGCTCATCCTCCCGAGTAGCTGGGATTACAAGCATGCACCACCAGGCCCAGATAATTTTTGTATTTTTAGTAGAGACAGGATTTCACCATGTTGGCCAGGCTGCTCTCGAACTCCTGACCTTAAGTGATCCACCTGTCTTGGCGTCCCAAAGTGCTGGGATTACAGGCATGAGCCACCGCGCCTGGCTGGGGGTGCCAATTTAAACCTGGGGGTCAGGGATGCCCCCACTGATGATGCCATCATGTTGAGCTGAAACCTGAGGGCAGGACACCACCCAACAGCAAAGGAGTCCAAGAGAGGAAACAGCAGGTATGAAGGCTCTTGATGTCTGGCTGAGGCATGGCGTGCCCGCCCAGAGAGTGAGAGGAGAACAGACAGCAAAGCTTCAAAGTGGAGGCACATCCTGCAGGCCACTGTCACAAGTTTGATTTATTCCAGATGCAATGGGAAGCCACTGGAGTGTTTTCAGCCTTAGAGTGACATAATCTGATTTGCATTTTTTTTTTTTTTTTTTTGAGACAGAGTTTCACTCTTGTTGCCTGGGCTGGAGTGCAATGGTGCGATCTCGACTCACCGCAACCTCCGCTTCCCAGGTTCAAGCGATTCTCCTGCCTCAGCCTCCTGAGTAGCTGAGATTACAGGCATGTGCCACCATGCCCGGCTAATTTTGTATTTTTAGTAGAGACAGGGTTTCTCCATATTGGTCAGGCTGGTCTCGAACTCCCGATCTCAGGTGATCTGCCCGCCTTGGCCTCCCAAAGTGCTGGGATTACAGGCATGAGTCACCGCGCCTGGCCCTGATTTGCATTTTTAAATGCTCTCACTGGCTGCTAGGTGGAGAATGAATTACAAAGAAGCAAGAGGGGAGGCAGCCAGACCAGTTGGGTGTTTTATTGCTTTGGTTAATAGGAATATCCCAGCCCAACAACTTCTCTCCTGCAAAGACAATCACTGTCACAGTAGCTGGAGTGATAGTCACATGCACACTCACTGCAAACACACACATGTGCCTCATGTCCCCTCGACTCGTAACCACCCACACTCTCCTGCACACCTGTGCACATGTGTGCCTCCATGTTCCTGACACGCCTACTTAAACACACAGCACCATGCATGTTTCATGCACATGTGCTCCCATGCATGGCATCAACAGAAATATTTTCATGCACACATAAGTATATATATTCCTTTTATTTTATTTTATTTATTTATTTTTTTTAGATGAAGTATTCTATTGCCTAGGCTGGGGTGCAGTGGCATGATCTCATCTCACTGCAACCTCTGCCTCCCTGGTTCAAGCGATTCTCCTGCCTCAGCCTCCCAAGTAGCTGGGACTACAGGCGCCCATCATCACACCTGGTTAATTTTTGTATTTTTAGTAGAGACAGAGTTTCCACCATGTTGGCCAGGCTGGTCTCAAACTCCTGACCTCAGGTGATCAGCTCGCCTCGGCCTCCCAGAGTGCTGGGATTACACGTGTGAGCCACTGCACCCGGCCCCTATATTCCTTTTATATACTTCCTCACATATACATGAAATACTTTCATGCACACACACATATAGCTATACACATACACACAGAGCCACACTTTGCTTCATAGACATATCATTTCCCATTTTCCAAAGGGAAGCAAGTCTGAGTGTGGGAGGTGGCTGGGAAAAAGGGGCTAGGGGGTTAATGAGAGGAAGAGGTAACAGCTACTTAGTCATTGGAGAAATACAATGCCTGAACACCTATTTTACTCTATATTGCACCTGATGGTTGGGCCTGCCAGTTATTATGGGGACTACACTAAAGCCTTCATTCAGCAGGTTGGGGGTGGGGGGCCTGCTCTGCAGCTCCTCTTCACTCAGCCACTGCCACCCACCTGCTCACCCGCCACTGCCTGAGTCAGCTTTCACTATTCTCCTGATGACTTACAGGGCGTGAAGGGTTGAGGGGGGTAGGGAAGGTGGGAATCTGCCCCCAACTGCCTGGGAAGCCCCACAGCTCACAGAAAGGAGGAGATTGGAAGGTCTGTCCTTTCAGGGCCTCACTTGCCGAAGCAGGGAGAGGACAGGCTGGGGTGGGGTGGGTGCTGCTTTGGGAAAATCCAGGCCCCTTTTCAAGGCCCTGTAGGACCTGTCCCCTGTACTCCCCCAGCCCCCAGCCAGTTCTGCTCCAGTATCTCCTCCCTTCCAGCTCTGAGCCCCAGCCATGGTGCTGCCAGCAACCAGCAGCTCTTCAAACACACACCTTCAGAATCTTGGCATATGCTGCCCTTACCACACCACCTGGAACAGCTTCCTTATCCTTCCTGTCTCAGCTTAGGAGCCACCTCCTCAGGAAAGTCCTCCCTGATTGTCCCACCATGCCACCCCAATCAGAGGTCCCCCTGTGCTTGCCTCCACTTAGCACTTTACTGCACTGGGTTATGCCTGTCTGCCCTTCACAACAGAGAGCACGTCTATTTCCTGCACTTGCTGCCTGGCACATGGCAGGTACTCAATAAATGTTTCTTAACTAAATGAAGGTCGCTCCTTTGTGCAACTAAAACTAGAAAGGAGGATTTGCGGGGAAGGATTCCTTGGTCACTCCCATCTTCTTGGTTGCCCCAGGGACCACCTGCTGATCACCAAGACTCCAGCACTCGTCATAGGACGCCTATGGCATGGTTTCTCTTCTATCTCTTCTACCTTCAGCCAACTCTGGTGTGTGTCGCTGGAATAATATCAGGCCCCCTGAGGTGGGGCAGGAGATAATGGGGGAGGCTTGGGGAGTGGCGTAACATGGAGTTGAGAAATTCAAGTTACTATATGAGATTCGAGTTACTATGTGAACGCGGGATTGGGTGTGCGTGCATCTGTGTGGTGTACCTGTGCTGGCAGGGAGGATCAGACTAGGCATTTGGGGATTGAAATGAACAGAGGTCACAGCAGAAAGACATTGAAACAATCTAAATAGGGCTAAAGCAGTTTGCTGATTAAAAGAGAGGGCTTGCCAGGCATCCACCCTGCCTAGAAGCCTGTGCTGAACCAGGAGAGGTGACTCCATGACTCAGGACCTGGGCAGTGCTGATGGGAATGGATCCTGGCCTTTTTGACCCCAGCAGAATCCTGCTTCCCTTCCCAAGGAGCAAAAAAATATAAAAAGGCATAGCTATTATTGAGTAATGCTGCTGCCCAGGCTGCACTGGGACAAACATCACTAATCAATCACGAGTGCACCCATCACCTCCAGGCCAGAACAAGGTGTCGGAATTCTCAACACAGTGCTCCCAAGAGCCATTACTGATAGCTTGGGATCCACATAAGTGGATCACTGGTCTCCTAAGTGTCAAGTGCTTAATAAATCCATGGCACAACCTATCCCTGAGTTAAGGATTAACTTTTACTTCTGAAAAAGAACAAAAACTCAGCATGGTTGAGGAATTCAGCCAAGTTCACACAGGTAGTAAGAGCTGGGCTAAGAATTTAGACCTTCCTAGGCCTGGCTTCCAATTCCTTGCTCTTGAGCATTTATCATGCTGCCAGCTTCCAATGGGCATCTGTTCCACCATGTTGTGGGCATTCATTGGAGCTTTGTTGCTTCTCACTGTTAAACCCTCCTGTATAATTCTGGGGTCCCAGCAGAAAACAGATGTTACCCTAAAATAGGGCAATTGAAGGATCTTTCAAGAAGGGACAAGTTGTAAAGGTGGGCAGCACAAAGGGAAACCAACAAAAAATGATGAAGACCTGGTGGGACAGGGACAGAGTGACTGGATGCTGGAGAGACCCAAAGCTGCAAAGGAAAGGAGCAAGGGGAACAATACCCCACCCTCTCCCCTCCCACCTCCCACCTCCCACCTCCATTCTTCTCCAGTGGTGCCGCCCATTGGGCAAACCCAGCCAGAAGCCAGGAAGCATGAGAGTTCAGCTGATGCAGCCCATACAGATCAGCCTCCTGGACTTCAGAGTGGGGGAGGGTGAGAGGGATGAAGTCTGGAGGCACCAATTGGGAAGGCCATCCAGAATGCTCCTATTCTGTTTGGGAGCTGGGGATGGGAATGTCCCTTCCTGAGGGGTATTTATGGAATAAATCAAATCAAATCACAGAAATCAAATCACAGAAATCAAAGCTGGAGATTCTCTCTCCCTCTACTTGCTGGCAGCCAGGATGTGGGCTCATGACCTAGACTCAGTCATTCAGAAATTCCCCCGGGAATGCAGTCTTACAGGAGTAGCTCAGGGCCAGGCAGTGGCTCACACCTATAATCCCAGCACTTTGGGAGGCTGAGGTAGGCGGATCACCCGAGGTCAGGAGTTAAGACCAGCCTGGCCAACATGGTGAAGCCCCGTCTCTACTAAAAATACAAAAATTAGCTGGGACTGGTGGCGTGTGTCTGTAATCCCAGCTACTCAGGAGGCTGAGGTAGGAGAATTGCTTGAACCTGAAAGGTGGAGATTGCAGTGAGCCAAGATCATGCCACTGCACTCTAGCCTAGGCAACAGAGCAAGACTCCATCTCAAAAAAAAAAAAAAAAAAAAAAAAAAAAAGGAAGTAGCTCAGACCCACAGGGTCAGATATTCCTGGCAGAGGCAGGGGCTGTGGCAGAGAGGCCACAGAGAGGCTGCAGTGAGACCCATGGAAGGCACAGAGGTGGTGACAGCAAAGGTATCCTAAACAGACCACCCTGTGGCATGACCTTGGCAGTGATGCCGACTGCCCCGCATCCCTTAAGGCATTTTCCAAGCTGGGGCTCCAGCCTTTCTGTGGATGCCATGAGCACCCCAAATCTTTTCTGTAAATCTTTTCTCTGCTTAAGAGCATCAGAGTCCATTTCTCTTGCTTTCAAAGAGAACTCTGACTGATACAAACACCCAGGACAGATAGACAATGCTTATGGCGGAAGGTGGTCCCCTGACAGGTGCACCAGAAATGCAGAAGGGGAAGAGGCATCCAAGTTGCAGTCAGGTAGGTCCTTAGAGCCTCCAGATCCCCTGCTGAACCCTGTGGCTCTGCCATGCACTGAACTGGGCAAGCTTGCTTTGTGTCTTTGGCTGAGCTGCCTCTGAGCCCCCTGAAGGAGAAATCCTATTGTGTGTACCCCCGTCCCAGAGAGTTTACTTTTGGAGGCTGAAGGAGAACAGACTGCCCTCCTCACCCAAGAAAAGACCCTGCCACAACCAACCTGTGAGTGCTCTGGAGGCCCCGGGCATCCCACGAACCCCCATCCCCAGAGAAGTCTTCTGAAGGAAGGGCCCAGCCTCCCAGCATCCTCCCTCCGCCAGAGGCCTGGCCTGAGGTATGGATTGTCTTGGCTGAGCTGCCCAAGGAGTAACCAGCTGAGCTACTGCCTCCATCACCACCCAGATACCCAGGATTTGGTTGTCTCTCTGGATGTTCAATATTGCTCAGGGAATGAGAAGAAAAGCAAAGCAGAAACTGCTGAGGTGGCAGCTGCTGCCTGATACAGCTGGGCCCTAGCAGGCCCTGGGGGTTCCCAAAGAGGGAGGAGAGGAGGGTGGGAAGTTCAGGAGATCCTCAGTCCCCAGGAGGCAGACCCAGGCGGGCCTGGCCACCTCTCTCTCAGGAAACTCCTTCTGTGGGCTCAGCCCATGGGAGGGTGCACTCCAGCACCAGGACCTGACTGTTCTGCAAACATTGACGCACAGTCCCCAGGTTGCAGGGAGAGCGAAGCTTGCATGCTCTTTGCCCTCAAAAGCTTAGGGCTTGAGGGGGCCACAGGTGGATACCTGTTCTGGTGGAAAACTGCAGAGAGGCACAGGCATAGCAGGGGTGCCTGGAACCAGCTCCTCTTCCTGAGACCCCCACCCTCATCCTCTTCCTCCAGCTCCCACAGAACCTGAGGAGAAGCCAATGTCTGGGTTCCCCAGATGCCTCCGCTCGCCTCCTCCTCCACCCTCACAGCAGCGCTGGAGACAGATCCATGGAGGTGACTCTCCCACTGTCCCAGATGCACTGGCTGCATAGTTGGGGAATGGGCTGTTCCCCAGGCCAACGGGATGTGCAGCCACCCTCTCCTGGGTTGGGAGGACCCCCTAGTCCCACACAGAGTCTTGCACCAAGCCCATCTTGGCAGTCGTTGCAGCTGAGGCTTGGAACAGGGTTCCAGCCCATTGAGAAGAATAGGAATGGTGGGGCGGGGGCGAGGGTCATGGCCCCTTGGGACCTCATCAAGCCTGAATAGTCTGGGTCACCTGTAGGCCCTGCCAGGCCCAGCCAGGCCTGCCCCTTGTCTAAGGCACCTTCTTTCTTTTTTCTTTTGAGACAGAGTCTCACTTTGTTGCCCAAGCTGGAGTGCAGTGGAACAATCTCAGCTCACTGCAACCTCTGCCTCCCAGGTTCTAGCAATTCTCCTGCCTCAGCCTCCCGAGTTGCTGGAATTACAGGCGCACGCCACCATGCTCAGCTGACTTTTGTATTTTTAGTAGAGACGGGTTTTCACCATGTTGGCCAGGCTGATCTCGAACTCCTGACCTCAAGTGATCCTCCCTCCTTGGCCTCCCAAAGTGCTGGGATTACAGGCATGAGGCAGCGCGCCCGCCCTGGTAAGGCACCTTCTGCCCACCTTGCTCCCCCTGCCCCATTGGTCTCCCCAGCTAGCAGAGCCACCACTATGCCAGGTTTCATGGGGCTCCGGCTGCTCAGGACTAGAGAGGGTGTCTAAGCATCTGTGAGGTTTTCTCCCCTCTGGGCCCCTTGGGCCAGGAGGGAGGCACAGGGGTGGGTGGGGGCCAGCTGGGGCTGGGGGGAGCTAGTTGGGGGGAATCAGCCTTTCATCTTGGCTGTGTGAAGCAAACCCAACCCCTCCCCAGCCTGAAGCTGGCTGGCATTGGCATGCACCATAAATCTCCAGGATGCAGCTGTGACTGGATTATTTATAGCTCCAGTCTTACATCTCTAACTCGAAACTGTCACACAAAGGGAAAGGTAATGAAATCTCACCTCTCCTGCCTGTCCCTCAGTCCACACCGCAGGGCCTTCCAGAGCCTGTGGCTGAAGGAGGGAGGAGAGGCCTCCCCCCCTGCCGCCTCCCTCCCTTCCTGGCTCCCTCTGTCTTCTCCTCTGTCGTCACGCACACACTTCGCAGCGCTACGTTCCCTCTCAGACACAGCCTCTCACGTTTTCTTTCTCTCTCACGCATACATTTCCTCACAGATGCAGACATTTCTGTCCAGCCTCTTCCTCCCGCTCAGCTCGCCCTGCCCGGGCCCCTCCTATCCCTGCAGACACACTTGCACACGCCTGCCCTTTTCCTTCCACGCCACCACTGTCTCCCTGCGTGGCTCACTCCCTTCCGCCTTGTTTGCCTCTTTGCTTTGTCAATGAAGACGCTGCCACATTAATGAGCAGGCCTGTCCTCTGTGGAGGCACACCGGCTCTTTGTCGCTCACTGGCAGAAGTGTCAGCTCACATTCATCTTGCTCTGCCTGTAAGAGTCCCACGGGCATTGCCTCCCCAAGTGGGACCCATTTTGTGGCACGTGGCCCGGACGACACGTATCCCTGGGCTTGACATACACAGACACACAGGAAACATTGGCCATGGGACATGCCTCTCCCCCTGCAGTGAGGAGCATCTAAGGATGCGCTCTGCAAATTCCACGAAAGGCCCCGGGTGCGGTATTTCATGGTGCAGAGGTGAAGTTCCTCCTCCCTCCTGTTTCGTTGTCTCGCAGTTTTCTACGGGCCAGTCCCTCTGTTACCCCATCCCACAGGCGCCAATGGAAACTCTGAGCCCCATGCAAGCTCCCATGGAGACCCAAGGCCCAGCCTCTCTCCCTGCCCAGCCCTCCACCCCCAGGCCCGCAATCATCAGAAAGCAGCACTTCCCACTGCAGCCCTGCCTTGACGTGGCCCACAACTCACTCCATCCAGACAGTCAGGGGGGTAGGCAGTGTGTATTTGTGTGTGTGTGTATGTGTGTGCGCGCACTTCTTGTGCTGAATGAGTGGTATTCACGAACAATGGCAGCTTACCCTGGGCTGACGGTGGGGTTGGGCCTGGGGACAGAAACCCTGCAAATTTCTTGGAAATCGCTCTCCTTTTTTTTTTTTTTTTCTTGAGACAGGGTCTTGGCCGGGCGCGATGGCTCACGCCTGTAATCCCAGCACTTTGGGAGACCGAGGCAGCCGAGGGTCACCTGAGGTCAGGAGTTCAAGACCAGCCTGACCAACATGGAGAAACCCCATCTCTACTAAAAAAGAAAATACAAAATTAAACAGGTGTGGTGGTGCATGCCTGTAATCCCAGCTACTCGGGAGGCTGAGCCAGGAGAATCACTTGAACCCAGGAGGCGGACGTTGCAGTGAGCCAAGATTGCACCATTGCACTCCAGCCTGGGCAACAAGAGTGAAACTCTGTCTCAAAAAAATAGACGGGGTTCTTGCTCTACCACCCCAGCTGGAGTGCAGTGGTGTAACTGTAGTTCACTGCAAGCCTGGAACTCCCAGGCTCAAGAGATCCTCCCACTTTAGCCTTCCCAGTAGCTAGGACTAGAGGTGCACGCCACCTTGTCTGTCTAATTTTTTTTTCTTTTTTTGTAGAGACAGTCTCTCGCTATGTTGCCCAGGCTGGTCTCAAAATTGTGGCTTCCAGCGATCCTCCTGCCTCAGCCTCCCAAAGTGCCGGGAGGTAGGAGCCACTGCATCTGGCCATCTTTTTTGTCTTAAAAATTAACTTGACTTTTGGCATTATTCACTATAACATATATGTCAATCATCTCAAATTACTTATAATTCAACAGTTAACTTTTTTTCTGAAATCTTTGCTTAAAATTGATCTTCCTGAAAGTTGAGTCTCAAAAACCCTCTGGCTCATCCCAGGGACCCCGAGGGCACAAACACCCCATAGGTTAAAGAGCTATGGGAGCAGTCTATGGGGTAAGAATATGGCATATAACTCTATGGGGGAAAGATAAGAGCAGGGATTTGGGTTTACATCCTGACTCTGGCAGTTATTAGCTGTGTGACCTTGGCTAGATCACTTAACCTCTCTGTGCTTCAGAATCTCAGCCTATAAAATGGGGATGATGATGATGATAGCACCCGCCATACACATGGTTTTTATGATGATTCAATACATTAATGTATGTAAAATACTTAGGACAGTGGCTGACACAATGTAGATGTTTGCGATTATTTTTCTGTAGAAGACCAAAACACAGCCGTCTAATCATCCCCAGAAATTGAAATGAGAGATCTCTCTTGCCTCCCTCCTCCCTCCTAGGATGAGCACCTGCCCCTGCCTATGCCCCACCTCAGCTGCAGTCCTCGATCATTCATTTAATCTGCAAGGCAGTCAGTCAGTTAACAAACATTCTCCTCTGTTCCAGGCACTATTCCTGCACTGGCACTCGGTGTCACACAAGACATTCTAGAAGGGGAGCCAGAAACATGCAAACAGCATTCGGATCATATTCAGAACTGAAGTCTCAAAGAAAAGTAAATATTCTTTATTCCAAAGAGCCACTCCCTAGCTGTAGAGAGCAGGGGAGGCAGGCGGGTCAGAGATGAGTGCAGGGCAGAGTGATCGTGATGGTATTGTCCGCTGGACTTCACCCCTCTGGACAGGCCTGCTATGGTGGGCACTGAGCCCATTTCTCTGCAGCAGAGGATGGTGGGGGCTGGAAGAGCAGGGGCTGGTATCAGGACGCAAACCTTCTGTGGACCAGGCAGTCCTCCCAATTCCATCATCTCCTACATGGCCCTTTGGTGAAACAGGTGATTAAGCCCCACTCTCATTTGCCACACGGGGAAACTAACTTGAAAAGAGATATCATTTGGGCTGGACCTGGTGGCTCACACCTATAATCCCAGCACTTTGGGAGGCCAAGGTAGGTGGATCACCTGAGGTCAGGAGTTTGAGACCAGCCTGGCCAACATGGTGAAATCCCATCTCTACTAAAAATACAAAAATTAGCTGGGCATGGCGGCACATGCCTGTAATCCCAGCTACTCAGGAGGCTGAGGCAGGAGAATTGCTTGAACCTGGGAGGTAGAGGTTGCAGTGAGCCAAGATGGCACCACTGCACTCCAGCCTGGGTGACAGAGTGAAACTCTGTCTCAAAAAAAAAAAAAAAGGGGATATCATGTGATAATCAGACATGCTTTTACCTCTTCCAAAAAGAGATGCATATGAATTCAGCTAAGACTAAATCCATACGTGGCTCTGCATTCCCTGTTGTTTAGGGAATGAAGGGCAATGATGGTAAACAGCCCAGGTGTGCCCACTCCATGGTCCATTTTATCCTGGAAATGGTGAACACAGGCTCTCCCATGTTCAACAACTGTGTGACTGCCTGTGGGCACACAATTGTCCTGGGGCTGTGGGCCTTTGCTGTCCAAGAGTTCTTATCTGCGAGTCCCTAAGATGGCTGCAGAATCAATCAGGTTGTTCGTGCAAGGTCAAGATCTAGGGAATGACTGGAGGTGACCATGAAAAAGTCATGGGTCCTGAACCATTGAGCCAAGTCAGAGGTCCAGAAAGTGACACGTCAAGGCCTCTGCTAGGGTGTTTCAGGACCAGGGAAGAGTGGGGTAAGACAGTGGAAGGTGCCTGGTAGGCGTGGTCAGGGCAGGCCCAGAGGGCTGGAAACTGCAGAGAGGTTGGCCAATGCAGGAGAATGGGAATGCAGACCCTGTGCTCCAAGGGCCTCTCTGCCTGCTGAGTTGGGGGTTGGGGGAAGGGGCTCCAGTCTGTGTATTGACTCCCTGTCCTTCTTTGACCTCTGCACGCCTAGCCAGCAAGGTGCTGGATGGCTCAATCAGAGAGAAATGTGATTTGGGCCAAGTTTCCTTCCACCTGAGCCCAGGGAAGAGCTGGAGGCCTGGCCAGTGGGGCAGAGGCCAAAATTACAGTATCAGGGAGATTTACCATCAAATCCAGAATGGCCTCATTCCTGAGTCATGCTGTCCTGTAAACTTAGAGCACCTCCCAGCACTCATGAACTCGGTGCTGGGGCAGTTTCTTATCTTAAACCTGTGGATAAGTGAGGCTTGAGATTTTCCCACCCCTGCTCAGTGAATTCGTGTTTACTCAACAAAACACAAGCCAAAATGTCCAAGCTGAAGCAATTGCCTCTCCATTAGCCAGTTGTATGTTTCTGGTACTCTCCCCCTATCTGGTTGTGAGCATAGCCACAAGGACTTTAACTTATGACTACATTCCCAATGCTGAATCAATTATTATTGACCAAATGACACAACAAAGCAAGGAGCATCCAGGTTTTCTGACTGAGAACTTGATTACTTCTCTGCATTGCTCCCCCATAGTCCAGGTGTCTGCTCAGTTGAGGGGGCAGGAAGTTCCTGTTTGGCAGGGACAGTTCCAGGTTTTGATGACCAAATTGGTATCTATACTAAGTCATCATTTATGCATTTACTGCTGGAGGTTAAGGGAAATGGTTACATAACCCAAGGAGACTGTGTCAGCCTGTAGCAGCCCCTCCTCCTGTAGCCACGGACACCCAGCTCCATTTACAAGAAGTTCCCTCATATCTGCCCCCAACATCCTATGTCCCCACAGCCACCCAAGTTGATGGGAGACAAGACCCCCTGATAGGTTCAACCTGTCAGCTTTCCGGACAGACCAGAGATCCCCCACTCTCTCGGAGACCCTGGAGTAGAATCAGCTGAGAAGAGAATGTCTTCTGGCCACAGGCCCTAGGGCCCTGTGCTCTGGAAGGGCGAATAGGTGCATTCCACCCTAGGGCAATGTGAGCACCTGCTGCTCCCCCAGCAGCCCAGGCAAGGTCGGTGTTTTGGGACCGCCCTACTCCCCAGGCACAGGAACAGGGCACCGGTAAAGCAATTCACTGGGTAAAGCACTTCACGGACCCACCTGTATCCTCCCTCCGTAGCTCAGGAGTATCAGGGCTCCAGGACAACATTTCCTTTACCAGCAGCCTCCTTGTCTTCAGCCATCACTCACCCTAGGACCCTCAATAACCTGCACATTGATTTTTTCCTTTAGGAAGGCAATGGCATTAGCATCATAATTGACATTGCAGATACTTTACCATTCAGAATCATCTATTGTCTCATTTGATCCCCCTTATAATGCTTTCAAGGAGGCACTGGTCTTCCTACTTGACAGAAGAGAAATTCAAGGCTCAGAGTGACTTGCCCAGGGTCACTATACAGAAGAAATGTGTGTGTGTGTTTTTGTTTGTTTGTTGTTTTTTGAGACAGGGTCTCACTGTGTTGCCCAGGCTGAGTGCAGTGGCATAATCACAGCTCACTGCAGCCTCGACTCCCTGGGCTCAAGTGATCCTCCTGCCTCAGTCTCTAGAGTTGCTGGGACTACAGGTGTGTGGCACTGTACCCGGCCAATTTTTTATTTTTTGTAGAGATGGGGTTTCACTATGTTGCCCACCCTGGTCTCGAACTCCTGGACACAAGTGATCCTCTCACCTCGGCTTCCCAAAGTGCTCGGATTACAAGCATGAGTCACTGCACTTGGCCTACAGAAAAAATTTGAACCTCCTTGTGTCCAATCCCAATGCCCGAATCCAATCCAAACACCTCATCTCTGAATTTTACAGCCTTTTCTGGGGGAGCACTTGCTTAGGAAAGAAACATTCAACCTTAAACCACCAGGGCAACGGGGACAAAGCTAAAACTCCAAAAAGGGCAGAAGAAGAAAAAACAGCAATCTCACACACCACTCTCAGCCCACGTCCACACCTTCTCCCTCCCTAAGCCTTCCACCAGCTTTGCTGTCAGTTAACACTATTTGAGCCCAACCCCCGACCTCAGCTTCAGAATGTGAACCCACAGCCTTTGCCCTCCCCAGAGAGACACCAGGCCAACTGGCCTGAAGCCCACCGCCCAAGACTGCAGAGAAGGCTGGACAGAAAAGATGGAAGGTTGGATTAAATCCCTTGAAGATGGGATCGTGTGAGTGTCCAGATTCGGCCATAATTTTTTTTTTTTTTTTGAGATGGAGTCTCGCACTGTCGCCCAGCCCGGGTACAATCTTGGCTCACCACAACATCTCTCTTCCAGGTTCAAGTGATTCTCCTGCTTCAGCCTTCTGAGTAGCTGGGATTACAGGCACCTGCCACCACACCCGGCTAAATTTTTTTTTTTTTTTGTATTTTTAGTAGAGATGGGGTTTCACTATGTCGGCCAGGGCTGGTCTCGAACTCCTGACCTTGTGATGAACCCGCCTTGGCCTCCCAAAGTGCTGGGATTACAGGCTTGAGCCACTGCGCCTGGCCTGACTGTAATTAAGAACATGGGCCTGCAGCAGAAAACCCTGGGTTCAAAGGCGAGCTCTACTTCCTCCTGGTTGGGAGACATAGTTCCTTAACTACCCTGTGCCTCAGTTCCTTTCTCTGTAAAATAGGGGAACACTAGTATCCACTGATGGGTGCTGGAAGGATGGAATGAGATTGAGACATGGTCTCGCTCTGCTGGCCAGGCTGAGTGCAATGGTGCGATCACGGCTTACTGCAGCCTCTACTTCCTGGGCTCGTGATCCCCTGCCTCAGTTGCTGCAGCTGTGCCATATACTGACAGCTCAGTCCTTGAGCTTGTGGGGCTGCAGGAGCAAGGGATTGGGTGGAAGACTAACGGGTCAGCCCTGGGTCAGCTGGACTGAGCCTTAAGCCAGTTCATTAAGGCTCTCAGCCTCAAGGTCTGTTCTCTATGGAAGGCCTCAGAATACTTTGCAGGGCTGTTTTGAGGCTTGGAAATCACGTAGGGGGAGTACCCTGCATCTGTAAAGTACTCAGACACACAAAGCCTTTCCTTCTCTCCCCTGCAATGTGACATTTCCTTCAGAAAACATTGTAGGAAAGCTTTGCTTTATTGGCAAGAAGAATAAATGGCATAGTATGCACAGAGCTGGATGCTCAATAAACATCCGTTCCCTTGGAGAGGCGAAAGGGAGAACAGCTTGATGGACGCTGGGAGGGAGAAAAACAGAAAAAGAGAGTGGGCGGGGTCGGGCAAGCAGAGGATGACGAAGGTGCGTCCTGACATGATCATGGGCAGGGCTGGGCGGGCAGGGGATGGCGAAGGTGCCCTGACATGATCGGGAAACGCTCCTGGCGAGTAGGGGATCCTTGGCAGGGAAGAAGAGAGGGTTGTCCTCATGCCTTGCTCTTGAGGAAAAGGTGGCAGCAAGAACAAGGCCAAAGGCTCCATTCCACCTGTGCTTGTTTGCTGGAGACCTTGTGACACCGCTTGCCCCTTTCTGGGCCTGTTTTCTCTTTGCGAAACAAAAGGCTCTGGAAGGTGCCTCCCACCCGGAATTATGCAGGGTACTCCCCGGCCAGCCTTGTTCGCTGGGATACCCCACCATTTTGCTAAGGTGGGCTGTTGTCACCTATGCATAGCCCTCTGCCTGCCTCCTCTGTCCCCCACCACTGTACCCTCCTACCCTCTCCTTCCCAGACATGAGGGTTTTATTTTTAACCAGAGTTTACAAGCAGGATCTGGAAAAGCCAGTTTGTGGAAGATGTTCCAGCACTGGCTGGCTCCCTCCCCCACAGTGGGAGGGAGAGTGGCTCGGGCAGCCCTTGGCCAGGCAGGGAGACCTGCCCAACAGGTGTGGGTGAAGGGCAGCAGGCCCAGGGACTAACAGCCCAGCCATCCTTGCCAGCTGCAGAACTGGAAGGGGGCCCAGATTGACCCTGGCTGCTCTGGAGGGGAGGAGAGGTTGCCCTATGGCAGGGGTGGAAGCAGCAGAACCTTCTGGGCTTTGCTGATGTCTCCTCCCCTATGGGGACTGATTGGCCCAGGGCTTCCCTCTCTCCCTGGGGACATCTCTGGGCAGAGTGGCCCAATGCCCTGCTATTGCAAGCCAGCCCTCTCCTTCTCGGGCACCAGGGAGGGGGCAGGCAAGGCCAGGTTCCCCGGTAGGCAGATTAAGTGTGTTCTCAGGCCACTGGCAGCAAAAGGCCATCAACAAAGTGTTTTGGTTTGGTTTTGCTTTTTTAAGAGCTAATATTTCATACTTCAAAAATAGCAAGGAAGTAGTCATCCTGGGGAAAATCAAAACTTTGTTGGACTTCCTGACACTTATTTTAAGGCTTAGGATTATTTTATTTGGAATTTGTGTGTGAGTGAGTGGGGGAGGTACACCTTAATCCTTCAGCTCTTAAGGCTGCTAAAGGTCTTAATCCAGCTCAGGGAAAATCAAGGATCAGAAAGGGGGTGGGGACCCTGAGGCGTTGAGGAGGAGGGAGTATGTGGCCTCAACCTATAGCTCTATACCCTAGAGGGGAAGGCTTTCTGCAGAAAGGGGACACTGCCGTATTATTTTTAAAGGAGAGCTGGTCTAGCCCAGCCAGAGGTGTGCAGTGTGATGCCTGCGTTGGTGTGAAGAGGATCTCGGGAAATCAAGGTGTGAGTTCTTGCAGGGGGAACAAGGAGCAGGGGCACTCAGGGCCTGGGAACAAGGCCTGGCAGCCTGGAATTGCCACCCCTGGGCCAGAGCTGGGATTTGGTCACTCTGGAAATGGTAAGCCTCTTGGCCAGAGGTGGCCAAAGACAGTTGTCACTTTGGAGGGGGAGCTGACAGCCCATTTCCTGGAAGATGGTTCCAAGGATGCCACTCAGCTCTGAGCCCCTGGAGGCAGGGCAGGGCTCAATGCCTCTTCCCCCATAGCCTGCTGCAATGGAGCACATTACTCACAACCCAACTCCGTTCCTGCCGCAGCCAGAGACTCAACAACAAATGTTTGCTAAGCACCTACTTGCTCCAGGCACTTTTTGTACCTCATTGTAACCCTCAAGTTACCTGTGGTATGGTTGAGCTACCCCATGTTCAGATGAGGAAACAGGCTCCGAGACACTGAGCTCACTGAAGAGCACATCACTGGCAGGAGGCAGGGTTAGGATACAAACCCAGTTGTCTGACACTGCCCAGCATGCTTTACTTCACACCCACTGGTCTCACCCCTGCTCAGGCCTCCAGAGGGGCAAAGCCACAAGCTCTCCTGCTTCAACCCTCTTTGCCTAGCCAGGCACCTCTCAACTTCTACCACGGCGAGGAGCCTCCAACATTATGAGCGAGGAGACACACAAGCACTCCAGGTCCCAGAACCAGCTCCATAATTTTCTGGGCACAATGCAAAATGAAAACGCAAAGCCCCTTGTTCCAAATGATCAAGAATTGCAAGACAGTGATAGCAGAACATTCAACCATCTCTTTTGAATGTCGGACCGCTTGTGAGTGCACAGGTCCACACCCATGAAGGCAGTCCTGCACAGAACCCACACTGTCCCCCAAATAAACTCCTCCCTTACCTGGGAAATTACATATCCCAGACATAAGGCAAGTACGATTGCCATGGGCCTTGGGAAGCAAGTCCTCCACTGACCTGGAGGCCCCACCACCATCCTCAGGCACTCTTGACCTCACCTCTCATCTTCCAGGTCACATCTGCATGTAACCAGGGGCTACCCCATAGCCCCCGACAATCTATCATCCCTAAAGAACTGACTTGGATGGAGTGAGGCAGTGAGCCTCTCTACTCTCCTCCCCTTTTCTGACTAATTAATCCTAGCACCTCTTCCTTGACCCATTCCTTGATCCTTGCTGGAGACAACCTCTTTCCTCATCTGACCAACATTTACTGAGCATCTAGGCACTGTGCGAAGGCTTCAGGACTAATACTACTAATTTCACTCTAGAACAGCACCGGCCCCTGCTGGGAGCTCCATCAGCATTTGTAGAAGTGGTGGAAGTAGCTGCCTAATGAGTGGCACCTGGTGTCAGGCAAGGAGCTGAGCTGGGCACACCTGCTCACAGACATGGTCTCATTTAATCCTCGCCACAGCCCAGCAAGGTGGGCATCACTGCCGCCTTGGGCCTAAGAGGAGGCTGAGGCTCTCAGAGTAATGTGCAGAAGGTTCCATAGCTACTGAGTAGAGCAAAGAGACCAGGGTCTGGTCCCAAAGGCTTCTTCAGCTCTACCGCAAATTGCTCCTAAACTTTCCTGCAAGGAGTCCTGTCTGGTCAGGAGAGCACCCATAAATAAATATTACAGAAAAGTCCTGAGGGGTCCCTGCAAGTCTCTCCATCTCTCCATTCTGGCTTCCTCCCTCTGCTCCCAGTGTAAGTGGGGCCCCAGTTCTGTCCCAGGTGCATCCCCCTCCAAGCTCTCTATGTACCAAGCCCCACTCTAGAGTTTTATGGGCACTTATGCATATAATCCAACCACTAGCACTATGAAGTAAGTACAATTCTCATGCCCATTTTCTTTGTGGGGAAACTGAGAGACAGTCTGGCCCCAGAATCTATGCTCTTGACCACTACACACTTCTGGAGGCCCCCTGCCTGGGTTCAAATCCTGACACACCAGCAACACCACATATCAGCTGTGTAAACTTAGGCGAGTTTCTTAACCTCTGTGCATGGATTTCTCCATCTGTAAAATGTGGACTATAATAGCACTGTTGTGCCAATCCCCTGTCAATTCCAGTGGGGATGGCACCAGGTTCAAGAGGCCGTAGCAGAGACCCAGTGCCAGCAAATGATAGAGCACTGGGGCTTTACTGGGGACTTACATTCAGGGAAGAGAGTTCAGCGGCAGCGGGTTGGGCAGAAGAAACGCAACTGCTTGCAAAAGGCATGCAGTTTATAGAGCATTGTCACTTAGCACCCTTTCCCTAACAACCTCCACCTGGCAACCTTCTTTCAGCGCAAAACTTGGGGCCCCCATCTCTGTATGGCCCAAGTTCCATAGGGCAGACTGGGGGTTCAGCTGTTCCTCATAGGCAAGGAACCAATCTCCAGGTTGGCCACTCCCAGACCCCCTAGCTTGGAACACACGTGCAGGTGCATCTGCCATACAGGGTCATTCTCAGTGTGTGCTGAAGTGATTGCTATCAGGTGCACTTCCTATACAAGCAGCTACTTTGTAGAGCTGTTGTGCAGATTGGGTGGGGCAGTATACATAAAGCAGACGGGTGCCTGGCACATTGTAAGCGCTATGTGTATGAGAGCTATTGTTAATATTATGAGTTTCCAGTACCTATACCGCCACCTCCCTCTTGAAAGCTGCCACTTCATTCATTCCCATCCCCCTTCCAGGGTCTTCAGCCTCTCCTGGATGAGCCCTTTCCCTGCACACATGCTTGTGTCTCTCTCAGCTGGCATCAAGGACACTCTCCCCACCTGTCCCCTGGCTGCCATTCTCTCCTTCCCGTCAGAGCCAAGAGACTAGGACAAGCTGGGCCTTCTGCTGTCCCCACACTTGGCCCACCGACCCCTCGACACAGTGTGTCTCAGCCTCTGCTTCCTTCATTCTTGCCTGAAACATGGGAAGCATAGCCATGCTTCCCTGGCTAAGATCTCCAGGAACTCCATATTGCCAAGTCCAACAGACACCTTTCTGGCCTTACCTTCCTCCATCTCAGCCCAGCACCTGACTCTCACCCTGAGCCCGGTCCGCAGGTCTCCTTCGGCAGACCAGACACCACTTCTTGGGATCATCCTTCCACCCCTCCTGCTACTCATTCTCCTCCCGGGCTGTTCCTCCCCTAGGCCTGGGATGTTGGAGCACTAGCTCCCACCATTCCATCTCATCTCCTCATTCTGCCCACTTTCCTTTCAGGGCCCTCTTCCAAACTCACACCTCTACCTACCACCCACAAAGAGGACAACACCTCTCACTTCTTGCCTAGACCTGTGTGCAGAGGCCAGACCTGCGTGTCTACCTGCTTATCCATCATCTCATTCCCTGCCCCAACCCCGGTGTCCAGAGGGGAGCTGGGCCTCTTCCCCTAACCCTCCTTGGCCTGCGGCATTCCCTGGGCACCCAAGCTGAGGGATGACCCTGCCCCCTTTCTCCCTCTGCCTCATCCTCCTGAGTCTGGGCACCAGGGCCCGTGGACCTCTCCTCCCCACAGTGCTCACGCTCAGCCTCTCCCAGCGCCACAGCCCCCTCCTCCTTCGGCTTCACCACCTCTCGCCTGGATAACTGCAATCGCCTCCTAGCTGGTTTCTCAATCTTGGTTTTCCCTCCCCTCCAATCCAGTCCTCATACTGCTGCCAGAAAGATCTTTCCAAATGGCAAATCAGGCCATGTCCCTCGCAGCTCACAGAATCCTTCAAGGGCCCTTTGTGATTAATTCCAAGACCCACGTTTTTTTCTCACAGAAGATCTTGCTGGCTGGTCCTGCCTCGCCTCCTCCCCACTCTCCAGCCAAACCCAACTAAGTCTTTGCCTTTCCGGAGGGAACTTGCTCTCCTGCCTCCCCAGTTTCACTTCCAGCAGGAGCTCCTTTCTATCATCCTCGCTCCTCGTCCTTTATGGGCCCTATCTCCAGAAAGAGGTCTTTCCCCGTGGCCTTGACCCGTGCTCCTGAGCACCATGGTCACAGCACCATCGCCAGTGCTGCTGTTGACTTTCCTTTGCCCCGTCCCCCAGTGCTGAGAGTCCTGGTGGCAGGAGACCCCTGAGCCAGGCAAGAATAAGGGCAACAAGACAGCTAACAGTCACTGGAAGCCAACAAGCTGGCTGGTGCTGACACAGAACATGCACCACTGTCTCTTTGGATTCTTCCTGCCACCTTGTGAGGGATATTCCTCCTTCCCAGGGAGGACTCAAGCCCAGAGAGATCAAGTAACTTGCCCAAAGTTAATAGCAGAGCCAAGATTTGAACCCACACATCAATCGATAGATGTATGTTGAGTGAAAGCACGTTTTCACGGAGGCGTGGAGCTTGGATGAGTCTTGAAGGAGGAGGGGCGTGATAGGTGGGCAAAAGGAGAAGGAAGCCACGTGTTGGGCAGAAGCACATCCTGGGCTGAGTACTCTCCACAGCCTGCTCCAGACTTCCCTCACCTCTGCCATCCCCAGGAACAGGAACCCTGCGCCAGGCACTCAGCCACAGTGGGCAAAGAAAGAGCCCTGTGGTAGGCCGGGCGCGGTGGCTCACACCTGTAATCCCAGCACTTTGGGAGGCCAAGGCGGGCAGATCACTTGATGCCAGGAGTTAGAGACAGAGACCAGCCTAGCCAACATGAAGAAACCCTGTCTCTACTAAAAATACAAAAATTAGCCAGGCGTGGTGGCGCGCATCCATAATCCCAGTTACTCGGGAGGCTGAGGCAGGAGAATCACTTGAACCTGGGAGGCAGAGGTTGCAATAAGCCAAGATCGCACCAATGCACTCCAGCCTGGGCGATAAGAGCGAAACTCCGTCTCAGAAAAAAAAAAAAAAAGAAAAAGAAAAAGAGAAAGAAAGAAAAAGAAAAAGGAGGTGGAAGCTGTTAGAGGCACTGCCTGCACCCAGGGTGCTGGAGGCACCAGCTATGGCTGGCGGACACCTCCTGACCACCTACTTCTTATCCATGTGTAGGGGCAAGGCTGGGACCAGGTAGGGGGGTACAAGGCAAGGGGTCCTTGGGCCTAAAGAGGAGCTGCAGGTGCTGGCTCCCTGCCTGAGGGCCAGCCCTGCCTCTGTCCCAGCCCCACTGGGGTCACCACACTCACTGAGGTGAGCTGGAGGCCCTTCTGGGGCAGGACTGACTTGGAGCCCGAAAAGCCACCTTTTGGCAAGTGGCTTGGCCTGTTGGTTTAGCCCCAGGCAAGGTGGTAGGCTCCGCAGCAGCTCCTCCTTTGGACTCTCCAGCTCTCCCCCTTTCTGTTCTACCTTGGGAAGCTCCCAAGGTCACCTACCAAGGTCACCTTTGAAACTCCCACCGTTGAAACTATCCTACTTCCAGAGGCCCCAGAAGAATAGGCATGTTGGCAACTCCCCAAGTCAGGGATCAGTTGCCACCAGCTCCAGTCCAAGCAGAACAGGGCATTGTGAACCTCCAGCTCCAGGCAGACACAGGGGAGGGGGGAGATTGTGGGAGGTGGTCACATGACCGTCTGGGCTGAGACCCAGGGGCACAGAGTTAATTCCTTCACGTTCACATGGCCCTACATTCCACAGCCGCCTCTCCCAGGGTGCTGGCCATCAGTATTGCCCCCGGCGCCCCCAGCCACGCAAACCTGTTCTCAGATGCACCCAGACCTCCTGGAACTGCAGCTCTGGGGTTCCAAGTGCTCACTCCTCCCCTCAAAAACACCACCCCCAGCTGGCAGGGTCTGTGCTGGTGAAAAGCGAGGTGTGGGGGCAGAGTGAGGGGAGGGTGTGAACTGTCCTTCAGGTGACAAAGAGGAGTGAAGCCAGGCAGGGGTGAGTTATTTACCCCTGTCTCGATTGCCTGTCTATGAAATGGGACCAATAATAGGACCTACTGTGGGGATTTTCCTTTCAAAGGAGAATCATGGCCACGACCAGCCTCAAAGATTTACCATAATGAAGGAGAAGTCATATATGACAGTGCCTGGCCCACTGTCAGTTCCAAAGTCTACAGTCAATAATTTCTCTCCCATGGAGCATGGTGGCTCACGCCTGTAATCCCAGCATATTGGGAGGCCGAGACCGGCTGATTACGTGAGGCCAGGAGTGAGAGACCAGCTTGGCCAACATGTTGAAACCCTGTCTCTACCGAAAATACAAAAATTAGCCAGGCATCGTGGCACTTGCCTGTAATCCCAGCTACTCAGGAGGCTGAGGCAGGAGAATCACTTGAACCCAGGAGATGGAGGCTGCAGTGAGCCAAGAGTGCGTGACTGCACTCCGGGCTAGGTAATAGAGTGAGACTCTGCCTCAAATAATAATAATAATAATGTCTCTCCTTCAGTCTTTTCTTTCAACCACAGCATCCCTGTCTGTGACCTAGGAGTACAATTCTGACAGCCTCCACGAGCTGCTGTGGCTGGTGGGAGAGGGAGGGGAATGAGGCTATTGGTAAGGAAGGCTCTGGACGCTGTTGGGATAGCTGGCCTCCATAGACACTGCCCCACTTCTTCCCCCAAGTCCTTCCAGAGAATGTCCAGTCATCCAGGGGCTGCTCAGGGCACCCAGCTAAACACAGGGATGTGAATGCCCTGGATGTGGGCCTGTGGGCCAAAGATACACACAAACACACACACACACACACTCACTCACTCACACTCCTTGCCCAGAAGCCTAGGATGCACCAGAACCAATCCTTGGCTGTGGGGGCAGGGGGCATCTTGCTGACTTTCCATCAGCCCCCAGACCCAGATTGGGGCTCTGTCTGACCCAAGCCCAGTTCCTTGTCCTGGACCTTTCCGCTTTTCCTGGCTTGTCCTAAGATCTGCCCTCAGGAGACATATATTATAGATCTAAGCTTCTCTGTGCTTTTAATACTGCTGAACATGTACACGAAATAACTGCCCACAGTGCAGGGGAACTGGAGATTTGGAATGAGAAGGAGACCGACTTACTTTTCTCTGAGTATCTTCTCAGGCTCTTTGATTTTTTTTTCTTTTACCATGTGTATCTAATACCTTTTTTAAAATTAAAATACTCCTGGGGCCAGGCACGATAGCTTGCGCCTATATAATCCCAGCACTTTGGGAGGCTGAGACTGGCAGATCACTTGAGGTCAAGAGTCCGAGACCAGCCTAGCCAACATAGTGAAACCCTGTCTCTACTAAAAATACAAAAAATTAGCCGGGCGTGGTGGTGCACACCTGTAGTCCCAGCTAATCGGGAGGCTGAGGCAGGAGAATCACTTGAACCTGGGAGGCGGAGGTTGCAGTGAGCCAGGATTGTGCCACTGCCCAGCCTGGGCAACAGAACAAGACTCTGTTTTGAAATAAATACATAAATAAACAAACTCCTGGGATGGCGAAATGGTGGATGATGGCTTTGATTGTTGTTCTAAGAAATTTGGACTTACCCTGTAGGCAACAGGGAGCCAAGGGAGGTTTCTAAGCAAGGGTGTGACTTGCTCAGATGTAGAAAAAAAATGGATTCTGCTACAAAGCCATGGCCTGAAGTGGGCAGACACCAGAGCTTACGGGAGACCAGTCAGGAGTTGGGACACTTCTCTCGAGTCTAACCTAAACCTGGGAGCCACAATTATAGTTCCCATGTAGAGAGGTAAGCTTTCCTGGATCCAGCACCCCAGACCTGGTGGATGCACACCTGTGACCCCCAAAGAGGCAGGACAATCAAGCTACGCCCAAGAGGTAACTGACCAGCATTTCAGCCTGAAGAAAACAAAACTGAGGCCAGGCACGGTGGCTCACGCCTGTAATCCCAGCACTTTGGGAGGCCGAGGCAGGCGTATCACCTGAGGTCAGGAGTTCAAGACCAGCCTGACCAACACGGAGAAACCCCGTCTCTACTAAAAATACAAAAATTAGCCAGGCATGATGGTGTGTGCCTGTAATCCCAGCTAGTTGGAAGGCTGAGGCAGGAGACTTGCTTGAACCCAGCAGGCGGAGGTTGCAGTGAGCCGAGATTGCACCATTGCACTCCAGCCTGGGCAACAAGAGTGAAACTCTGTCTCAAAAAAAAGCAAGACTGGGAGGGAAGACACCAGCTAGTGGGGTAGATACTCCCCACAGAAGCAATATACCTTACAAATCAGGGCCACTGCCTGTTTCCTGTCATCTCTCTGTTCCATCAAAAATGAGACAGAGGTAAGCTCATTTTTAAATTAAGTTTGAGGGTAGGAGGCAACTGAGGACGACTTCAGAAGAACAGCCCTGCTCCAGAATCCCTGATTGGAAATACTGCTTGGACAGCTCCACTGTGTTCCCTCAGAACATAGAACCTAGGACGGGTGCGGTAGCTCACGCCTGTGATCCCAGCACTTTGGGAGGCTGAGGTGGGCAGATCACTTGAGGTCAGGAGTTAGAGACCAGCCTGGCCAACATGGAGAAATCCCATCTCTACTAAAAGTACAAAAATTAGCTGGGCGTGGTTGCAGGCGTCTGTAATCCCAGCTACTCGGGAGGCTGAGGCAGGAGAGTCGCTTGAATCCTGGAGGCAGAGGTTGCAGTGAGCTGAGATCACGCCACTGCACTCCAGCCTGGGCAACAGAGACTCTATCTCTAAAAATATATATATAATAATAATAATAAAATAAAAATAATTAAAGATGAACATAGAACCTAGAAAGTGTTCTCCCCAAGGGGCTTCCTGACAGCCCTGCCTGTAGATAGCCTTGCTCACTGGTGTCGGTGAGGCTCACACTCAGACTCAAGGAGATGTGGAAAGGGCCAAGGGATGGGGCTGGTGCTGTGAGTCTTGGTTTCCTGGGCTCTGCAGGTCAGAAGTTTGTGGCCCTCTGCACAAAGGAACACTGGAGTCTGGGCAGACCCAGGCTCTAGGCTGCCTGGGGCTTGGATTGCACTGGGTCTAAAGGGCCTTGGCTACTTAACCTCTCTGAGCTCAGTTGGCACATCTATAAAGTGGGGCTCATCACGCCTTCCTCCTAGACAGGCCTAAAGCTGGAATGGTACAATGTGCAGCTGCCAGGCACATTGCACAGCATCTGGCCTGTCCCTAGACTCCTTCAGTTCCCCCTTTAGCTGTGGAGGAGAGATGGCCAGGCAGAGGTGGGTGGCAGGGAGAGAACTGAGAAGCCCCAAGCTGAAGGGAAAACGGGGGAGTCCTTGGTGTCCCTCCCTTACCCCCTCCTTCCATGCCAAGATAGTTGCTCCCTGTTGGTTTGGAGTCAGTTGCTTATCTGACTCTAAACCTTCAAAAGCCTGGGTAATGTACCAAGACCCCATCTCTTTAAAAAAAATGTTTAGCCAGGCATGGTGGTGACATGCACCTGTAGTCCCAGCTACTCAGGGGGCTGAGACGGGAGGATGGCTTGAGCCCAGGAGGTGGAGGCTGCAGTGAGCCGTGGACATGCCACTGCACTCCAGCCTGGGGAAGAGAGCGGGACCCTGTTCCAAAAAACAAAGAACAAACAAACAAAAAAACAAAAAACCTTCAAAAGTTTCCCATCAGCAAAGAGGGGAGGTGGTGTGAAGGGCCACAGATCAAAGGTTAAAAAAAGACTCTACCAGCCAGGCACAGTGGCTTACGCCTGTAATCCCAGCACTTTGGGAGGCAGAGGTGGGCAGATCACAAGGTTAGGAGTTCAAGGCCAGCCTGGCCAATATGGTGAAACCCCGTCTCTACTAAAAAGACAAAAATTAGCCAGGTGTGGTGATGGGCGCCTGTAGTCCCAGCTACTCAGGAGGCTGAGGCAGGAGAATCGCTTGAACCCAGGAGGCAGAGGTTGCAGTGGGCTGAGATCGCACCACTGCACTCCAGCCTGGGCGACAGAGTGAGACTCTGTCTCAAAAAAAAAAAAAAAAAAAGACTCTACCAGTTCAGGCCCACCTGACATTTACAGTCAGAAACCTAGAAATATCTCTGAACATTCCCTTCCCCCAAAGGCTACAAGGGATAAATGTTTTTTGCTAGTCCTCCAAGAATTAGTAAAAACGGTGAACCCCACTGGACCAGGTATCGCTATCCTTTTGCCCCCCTTATCATCACTCCTCATAGAAACTGTCCTTAAATTTTTCTTTCATCTTTTTTTTTCCCCAAGACTGCCCAGGCTAGTCTCAATCTCCTGGGCTTAAGCAATGCTCATGTCTCCTAAGTAGCTGGGATTACACCATCATGCCCAGCTCTCAAGTATTCTTTTTTTTTTTTTGAGATAGAGTTTTACTCTTGCCCAGGCTGGAGTGCAGTGGTGCAATCTCAACTCACTGCAACCTCCACCTCCTGGTTTCAAGAGATTCTCCTGCCTCACCTCCCGAGTAGCTGGGATTACAGGTGTGCACCACCACTCCTAATTTTGTATTTTTAGTAGAGATGGGGTTTCAGCATGTTGGCCAGGCTGGTCTCGAACTCCTGACCTTGAGTGATCCGCCCACCTTGGCCTCCCAAAGTGCTGGGATTACAGGCGTGAGCCACTGCGCCCGGCCTCAAGTATACTTAAAAAAAAAAAAAAAAAAAAAAAAAAGCCAGGCGCGGTGGCTCATGCCTGTAATCCCAGCACTTTGGGAGGCCGAGGCAGGCGGATCACGAGGTCAGGAGATCGAGACCATCCTAGCTAACACAGTGAAACCCCGTCTCTACTAAAAATACAAAAAATTAGCCAGGCTTGGTGGCGCACACCTGTAGTCCCAGCTACTCGGGAGGTTGAGGCAGGAGAATGGCGTGAACCCGGGAGGCGGAGCTTGCAGTGGGCCGAGATGGTGCCACTGCACTTCAGCCTGGGCAACGGAGCAAGACTCCGTCTCAAAAAAAAAAAAAAAAAAAAGAAGAAGTCGCCAGCCATGGTGGCTCACACCTGTAATCCCAGCACTTTGGGAGGCTGAGGCAGGTAGATCACAAGGTCAGGAGATCGAGACCATCCTGGCCAACAAGGTGAAACCCATCTTTACTAAAAATACAAAAAATTAGACAGGTGTGGTGGCGGGTGCCTGTAGTCCCAGCTACTCGGGAGGCTGAGGCAGGAGAATTGCTTCAACACGGGAGGCGGAGGTTGCAGTGAGCCGAGATTGCACCACTGCACTTCAGCCTGGGCGACAGAGTGAGACTCCGTCTCAAAAAAAAAAAAAAGGCTATTATAGCTGTTCCCTAATAAGAATCTAGCCCAGACTCTGCCACTGTGTGACCATAGGCAAGTTATTTCACCTCTCTGTGGCTTGGGGTCTTCATCATTACAAAGTGGATGGACCAAACATAAGTTCTTTTTTTTTTTTTTTTTTTTTTTTTTGAGACAGAGTTTTGCTCTTGTTGCCCAGGCTGGAGTGCAATGGTGCGATCTCAGCTCACTGCAACCTCTGCCTCCCAGGTTCAAGCAATTCTCCTGCCTTAGCCTCCTCAGTAGCTGGGATTACAGGGACGCGCCACCATGCCTGGCTAATTTTGTATTTTTAGTAGAGACGGGGTTTCTCCATGTTGGTCAGGCTGGTCTCGAACTCCCAACCTCAGGTGATCCGCCCACCTGAGTTTCCCATAGTGCTGGGATTACAGGCGTGAGCCACGGCGCCCGGCCAGACCAGACGTAAGTTCTAACCTCAATTCATGAATGGGCTTTAGATGTGCATAAATGCCTTGAGAAATTGAGTAGTATTGGTTGCATCCCAGAAGGGAACTGAGTAGCAGAGGGGCCATTGTACTATATTCCCCTTTGCATCCTTTGTTTTTTTGTTTGTTTGACGCAGGGTCTTGCTCTGTTGCCTAAGCTGGAGGGCAATGGCACAATCATTGCTCACTGCAACCTCGACCTCCCAGACTCAAGTGATCCTCCCGCCTCAGCCTCTCAAGTATCTGGGACCAGAGGCATGCACCACCTTGCCCAGCTAATTTTTGGTTGTTGTTTGTTTGTTTTGAGAAGGAGTCTAGCTCTGTCACCCAGGCTGGAGTGCAATGGTGTGATCTCGGCTCACTGCAACCTCCACCTCCCAGGTTCAAGCGATTCTCCCTCCTCAACCTCCTGAATAGCTGGGATTACAGACGTGTGCCACCACACCTGGCTGATTTTTTTCTATTTTTAGTAGAGACAAGTTTCACCTTGTTGGCCAGACTGGTCTTGAACTCCTGACCTCAAATGATCTGCCTGCCTGGGCCTCCCAAAGTGCTGGGATTATAGGTGTGGGCCACCACGCCCAGCCTGCCCGGCTAATCTTAAAATTTTTTTTGTAGAGGAAGGGTCTCACTATGTTGCCCAGACCAGTCTCGAACTCCTGGCCTAAAGCAATCCTCCTGCCTCAGCCTCCCAAAGTGCTGAGATTAAAGGCATAAGCCACCACTCCAGGCCTCATTCTTTGAGTTTTGAACCAAAGGAATGTATTACCTTCTCAAAAACAAATATATAAAATGTATATTAAAAAAGAAAAAAATGTATGCAAATCCTTGTGTATGTGGGCACTGGTATATCTTGGGGAGGAGCCATAATTTTTGCTAGATTTTTCCAAGGTGTCTCTGACCCCAGAAAGGTTTAGAGAACATTTCACTAGATGACCTTAAGAGTCATTCCCAGTGCAGTGGTGCTGTCTTGGCTCATTGCAACCTCTGTCTCCCAGGTTCAAGCAATTCTCATGCCTCAGCCTCCCGAGTAGCTGGGACTGCAGGCACACGTCACCACGCCCAGCTAATTTTTGTATTTTGTATTTTTAGTAGAGACGGGGTTTCACCATATTGGCCAGGCTAGTCTCGAACTCTTGACCTCAGGTGACCCGCCTGCCTCAGCCTCCCAAAGCGCCCAGCCCCAATTCCAACTTCCTGACTTGATGAAGTATTACAGAAAACAAAAGTGAGTTTCAGTATTTATTACATCAGCCAGTCTGGGCTGGATGCAAGTGAAAACGCACCTTGAATCTTACATTGAGGACTTGATACGGTGAGCCGCCTTCGATGGTGGACTATGGTGCTGCCTTCAGAGATCAAGGTCAAGAAATTACTCCCATTGGCCTATTCTCTCAAAGCTGTTGAATTGAGTCCTCATTGCCCCACCACTCTGCCCACTTAAACATGTCGTTTGGATTTGCTGCACAAATGATGCACAAAGATAAATATGAATTTTTAAATGTTGGCCACTTTGGCTCTGAGGGGAAAGGGAGTGAGAAGGATAGGAAACGAGGGTCAGAAGAAATGGAGGTAAAATGGAGATGAATGGAGCCTCGGCTCATCCAGAGGCCTGGGCTGAATCTCAGAAACCCACAAGAATCCTTACACGCCAGAGAGGAAAAGTGCTTCCTAGGCGTCCAATGTGGAAAGCTTCAGGGAAAGGAGAATCCAGCTGAGGGATCAGAGAAAGGCTGGTTAAGGCAACCAAACTAGCAGCTGAATGGGTCCCAGGAAAGGAAAAGTTCACATGGTTTAAAAAAAAAAAAAAGCCTCCATTTAACAAGTGGTCCCCGGCTATGATAAACTTTAATTAACTGCACTATCATAATTCACTTCTAGCCTGGGTTCCACCCCAACCTGCTCTCTCCCTCCCACTCCCTCCCTCCTCTCCCCAACGTCTCTAGTCAGGTTTCCTTAGTGAAACCAAACTGGCCTCCATGGCTGGATGCCTCATTATTACAGCTGCTGCTTCTACTGTTCATAATAGCACCCAGCAACAAGAAGGAAAGAAACGATGCTGTTCTCAGTGCTTAAAGACAGGCCCTCCTTTCCTACCTATGTGCACTAGTAATCAAGGGTCTTACAATCCTAAAAGTTCCTGAGCATAATACCATAGTGATGAAGAGACAGTTGCAGGCCGGCAGGAGCAGCTGTGCACAGAAACCGGTAACAGGGACAACTCCCAGCTGGAGCCACCAGACACAACTCATAAGGTCCACGCCCAGACAGGTGATCCACATGTCTAAATTCACATGCACTGTGCAATGCCGGAGGAGGGGTGGCTGCACCCACCGCTCCTTCCTTCAATGATAGTTAAATTATACCCGTGACACTGTATTCTCAGGCTGTTGAGCTTTACCAATTTTAAGAGTATGTGCCTTGGGAGCGGGAGTTGGGAGCATCTTAGAGGATCTTCCAGGCAAAACATGCTTGGTTTTTATTAATGAACTTACACAAAAAGCCAACCCAGACCTTTAAGTGCAATGTGTGATTGGTAGCCAGGCGAGGATGGGTTTTGGAATTAACTCTTCCTACAGTCTGCTATGCATTATCACCCCCAAGTTAATTACCCCTGCGGATGAAAATAGGTTTCATGACTCATAAGCACCAATACAACACTTGGCAGCAGATGAAAATGCAAGGACACATTTGCAGGAAGCTGACATGAATATCTATTTATATGTGGGGAGATTCTTAGAGGTGAGGCAGGCACCTCCCATGTACCAGGATTAAGAGGCTGCAGCAGATCCATCAATATTGCCACTTATCCACACCCACACACACACACGCGAGTGCGCGTGCACACAGAGTCCTGGTTTCCACCACTTCAGTGATGGCAGTGGCAAAGCAGGAAAAGAAACTAAAAGGGTGTTATTAACAAGTTCCGACACCAGCCCGGCCTCCACACCAGAGTTCTGGGCGAACCAGTGATTTGTTTCTCCCCAAACGTGCCTGTACCCATCCCCACCTCCCAGTCTTCCCACTCCTTTGATGGGAGTGGAGTGGGGGATCCAAGTTTCTTAATAGTCCTTCAGCCTTGGAGGGGACCAACAGGGCCCAGCTCGCCCCGCCCAGGAATGAGATGTGGCCAGGAATCAATTTGACTGGATTGCCGGGTTTTGTTTTGCTTCCTCCCTCCTGTTTTCTGCTCTTCTATTTGCCTCCCAGGAAAGTACAAGGTTCAGATCAGGTTTGTTTGCCTTCCCCTACCACTGGGAGGACTCCAGGCTGCTCTCAGCCCACGAGCAGGGGCTCTGCTCTAAAGGGCAGTAGTCTTCTCTCCGCTTCCCCGCCTCTCTGCACCTCACAAACGCCGCCAAAAGCTGATTAGATGAATAATTGCATTGCTTCACCAGCAGGAATGGATTTTTATTTGATGTTGGAAGTAAACCTTTGCTTCAGGAACTAAGTTTGGGGTTTCCCCCCCTCTTCCTCATCCTCAGAAACCCTCTCTAATCAACTAAGTCTTTAGAATTATTTCTGCCTTTAAAAATAATTATTTAAAATACAAGAAAGAAAACTTGTAATGAATGAGGTGAAAACTGGTTTTCCAAGGAACCAGCCTGAAGCTACTGCGGACTCTCCAAGGCTGAGTGTATGCATTTGCTCCCAGCTCTGTGGCAGTTTTGTTTTAAATATGCAGACTGATGTCTGTCATATCTAAGAAGCAAAGCATCCTAGCTTTTCTCCTAGACTTTTTCGCCCACTTGTCAAGTCACCAGCTGCACTGGGTGTCAGCCTATGTTCACCGCCACAGGGCGAGGCACCAGAAAGCATTCTTGACAATGCCATTTGCAGCTGGGCCCGCATCCGGGGGAAAATAGAGATGCTGAAGAGTAAACCGAAATCGCTTAGTCAGCAACTGTCGCCTCCCCAAGAGGTGAATTTAAATAGCCTGGTACCGAGGGGGAGGGGCAGCAAGGCAGCACAGGGCCTTTCCCACAGGCCAGCTCCCAGGGCTTTCAAAAGCACTAGGATTTTCGTTCTATACTGGAGGTAGGGAGGGTGTCGCCTACGTCGGAGTTGCATGGCCTTAGCCCTAGAAAGACAAAATTGCTGACTCAGCGCAGTTAATATCAATTGAATTTATTACAAGTTACTAAGCTCCAAGGCACATTACAGTGTTCTGTTAACTACAGAAATGTATAAAGGACAAACAGAGCAGATTCTCCATGTCTAGCATTTCGCTCTACTGTTCAAAAGCATCCGTGCATCAATAAAGCAAAAACAAAACAACACGTGTAGATCCAACACATTCAGGTCAGTAGAAACAAACCAAAACATTTTCCCCTCACAAACTTGCAACAAAATACACCCCATCCCCCCCGACACCCCCTTACCATTTTGCAAACAAAACAGAAAAACAAAACAAAACAACAAAATAAAGTGAAGACTTCAACACTTGGGGCAGTTTAGAAGGAAGCTTTCACCATTTTATAGCATTTTTTTTTTTTTTTTTTTTTTTTTTTTTTTTTTTTAGGCAGCAACACTGGCCTTGGCAAAAAAAAAAAAAAAAAAAAAAAAGTCTTTTTCTTTTGTGTGTGTTTTTCCTTTCAGAGAGTGCATAACATTTACAAAAATACACACCAGCAGCAGTCGTTGCTAAGGGCTATTAATTCTGTACCTAGGCAAACATTCTGCCACCAAATAAATGCTAACGATATGATGCAAATGACCCAACCAATACTATACTGCTTAACACAAACCAGCTTATCCTTCAAATGAAGAAGTTACATACCTTTGTTTCAAAATATAGAAACATACGACGAAAATAATGTCTATACATAAGACTAACTTTTTGCAGTTTCGTTATATTCACAATTCTACACCTTGGGGGTGAGGGGAGGGAGGGTCGAGTTGGGTTGGGGGAGGGGCCCTCAGGATTGGAGAGGAGCTGGTCTAGGGCAAAGGAGGTGGCTGCCCAGTGGTTCAAGGGTCTCTCTCCTTTTTCACTTTAACATCCCCAGCTAAGATAGTCGCGATTTCGCCCTGCATGAAGGCCCAAGGTACATTCGACCCGACTAGGGGGCATTTCTCTCCGCTGGGGCAATACACCTCGCCGGTGGCCCCCTGGGCCTTGATACTCTCTCTAGAGCAAGGGAAGCAAAATTTGTGGCTGGGGACGGAAGGGCACTGAACGAAATGCGTATCCTCCAAACGTTCGTGGCAAATGGTGCAGCAGAGGGGTCCGCTGTTGGCCATGGGGGAATCCGGAATGTTTTGGGGGTGCACTTGGTCCATGCCCGGGTGGGCGCTAGGCGGCGGGGGCGCCACCTGTAAATTCAGGTCCCCGTTACGTGATGCCAAGCGGCGCTGCCCCGGCACGGAGGCCGGCGAGACTGGGCTGCTGCTGTTTCGCCGCGCCGACGCAGTGGTAGAGTGCACGGAACTGCCATCCTTGGGCGAGTGCGCTGTGCCCAGAGTATCTGCCACCGACATGAGAGCGGCCATAGGGGACGGACCGTTCTGGGGGGCTGACTCAGGTGGGGTGGTCCGGTTGGAATGGGGTCCCAGAGGTGGGGGCGGCGGAGGCGGACCCCCCGCCGCGTGCCCCGGCGCCGCGAAGCCCCCGGCGGACATGGTGAGCTTCAGCGCCTCGCTCTGGTTCGCCATCCACTGCTGCCTCTGCTGTTCCTCGCCCAGCTTCAGCGCGCCCTCGGCTGAGTCCGGGGGCTCCGGAGAGGCCTTTCTCTTGCGCAGGCTGGCGGCTGCGCCCCGGCCCGACGGCGCGGCGGGCGGCAAGGCCCCGGTCCCCGGGGGTGCGCTGGGGGCGCGGCTCAGACTCACCAGAGCAGTGGGCAGCATGGGACAGCTGGCGTCCAGGTAGGGCTGGGGCAGCATGTCGGCGCCGGGCACGCCCTCCTTGAAGAAGCGCACGGCTTCGGGGAGCAGGTCTCCAAGCAGGCGCCAGTCCCCGGAGCCGTGCTTCTTTTCGTACTCCAGGTACTTGAAACCCGAGGATAGGCCCCGGCCGAAGTCCTTCATGCAGTCCTGATACATCTGCTTGGCCACACCAGATGCACTGGAGTACACGTTGCCCGAGCCCGTGGGGTACTCAATGAACAGCTTCAATTCGTAGTCCATGCCGGGCTTGGAGACGGCGTCGAAGGCGAAAACGCGGCCCAGCAGCGAGTGGTCCTTCTTGAAGCGAACCTCGTAGGGCGTGCAGCCTGCCAGCGTGAGCAGCGTGTCGCGGACCATCTTGGGCTTGCTGGCCCACTCCTCGGCGCGGTTGCGCAGGCTCTCGCTCAGCTCGGCCAGGGCCTCGGCGTTGCGCTGCTTCTCCTTCAACTCGCGCTCCTGGTCTGTGCTCGACACCGAGCCGGGCCTCTTACCACCAGCACCCACGCCCACCTCTGCCACCGACGAAGAGGTCGAAGACGACGCGGAGGACGACGTGGCCGATACACCCGGGGTACCCCCGAGACAAGCGGGGCCCCCAGGAGCCCCTGGGGGAGCAGGCGTCGGGGGCCCACGGCTGCCCAGGGCGTGGGGAGGGGGTGGGGGGAGTACCGCAGCGCTGGCCGGGCCGTTAAGCAGCGTCTGCGGTAGCAGGTTGGGGGGCACGGTGAGCTGGGGGCCTCCGCCACCCCCCGGGTTGGGCAGCCCCGTAACCAGCCCACCGTGCGTTCCACGCCGAGACGCCACCGACGCCGCCGCTGAAGAAGAATTGGGGCTCTGACGGTTCAGCTCTGGGGGTCCCTCCTCTGGTGTTGGTTTGGGGAAGCCGTTTGGGCCCCCCAGGCCGTTGGGCAGTCGCGCGGTGTGGCTGCTGCTTCCCAGGCTCACCGGCGGTGGCGGGTACTCGAAGCGGCTGCGCTGTTCCACCGCAGCGGCGGCGGCGGCGGCGGCGGCGGCGGCAGCGCTTAGGCCGTAGCGCTCCAGGCCAGACGGGGCCGCCAGCACCGCAGGCTTGCTGGAACCATCAACGTGGTTGAGCTGTTGTTGCTGCTGCTGCTGCTGCTGCTGCTGCTGCTGTTGCTGCTGCTGCTGCTGCTGTTGCTGTTGCTGTTGCGCGGCGGCGGCGGCGGCCGCCGCTGCTGCCGCCGCCGCCGCCGCTTCCTTAGCCGACAGGGCCACTGTCTTGACCCCGACGGGCGGCGGCGGCCCGGGGGAGCGGCCGTCCTGGAAGCAGCCGTGCGCCCGCTTCAGCTGGCGCGCTGTCTCGATCACGAATTCGATGCGATCAGCGCCCTCGTAGTTGACGCAACCGCGGCATACGGGTTCCGAGAAGTCCCAGATCATGGCCCAGGGCATGCGGGGCAGGTCGCACAGGTAGCAAGATTGTCTCCGGGACGAGGACACCTGCGCCGCCGACATGATGCCTGCCCTGGGGAAGGTAGGCCCCCGCCCGGGCTGTCTCCGCGGCGCCTTCTCCTCCGGGAGGACTGGCCGGCTGGGGAGGGAGTCCGACTGCGGGGGAGGGAGGAGGGGGGGCGAGAAAGTTCTGCCCCAGGGGCTGGAGGGAACGCGAGTCTCCACCGCCGGCGCAGCGCCTCGCCGTGGGGGCTCCACCGCCCGGGCAGCGGACGGGTTCAGCCCTCTCTTCGCCCCCACCTCCTACTGCGGTTGACTCGTCGCGAGGGGAGCTCAGGCGCCTTCTTCCTGGTGCTGCAGACTTGGGCTGGAAGCTCCCGGCCCGAGGGGAGGGGGCGAGGGTGCCCGGTGGTGGCCGCCGTTGCCTCTTGGCCCCCTCCCCGGAGTGGCTGGTGCGTGGAAGCTCGAAAGGGGCTGTCTCTTCCTCTCCCCGGGGACCCCCCTACGAGCTGCGTCCTCTCCCCGACGGGCCCCCTGGGGCGAGGGCCAGAGGGTTCAGTGCCACCCGGTGCCCGGGTCCAATCTTGCTGAAGCCGCTGCTTCCCCGGAGGACCGGGGGAGGGGGTGGCAGCCGAGAAAGGACCTTCTCCCCTCCGCAGCGTCGGCCGTTCTGCTGGCGGCGACTGGGTTTGCACCCCGGAGGGAGCCGCCGCGGCCACTGCTTCCAGGACGCACGAGAGCAGAGGAGAGGAGTGCACGCACGCAGGCTCCCGCCGCCCCCAGGCCTGGCCGGCGCCCGGGCCGCCGCGGCTGGCGGCGCTCACGTTGGCTGCAGGGCGCTCGCGCGGCGCCTCGGCCCGGGTCGCATCCCTTCCCGCTCGTGCTCACGCTCGCCCGGAATGTGGGGTTGTGATTGTTACTCTACGTTCCGGAGGCGCGTCTCGGCGCTCCTGCTCCGGCTGCGGCTCGCGCTGTCCCCGGCTTGGCCGCGCGGGATGCCGCCCGGGCGGAGCGCTGACGTCACCGCCATGCTCTGCACCAGTTCTTCCCCCTCCCCTTTACACTTCCTCTGTGGAGCCCACTTGTTGCTCAGGCAAGGCGCATGCGCGGCAGGACGCCCAGATTCCTCCCAGCCGGCCCCTCCTCCGCGCCTCCGCCCTCCCCTCCCCCCTCGCCGTGTGTGTACAACAGCTGAGGCCCGGCGAGCTAATGCTGGAAGTCCAGAGCTGGGGGTGGAAATTAAACAGACGATGACCTTTCCTTTCCCTGCCGGGCATTCCCAAGTAAAAACGCATTTAAGAACCACTAGCGTCGTTTCCGATCCCTGCTCCCCACCCCACCCCCAAGCCTCGGCAGTGAATTTAAATGTCCTGTTTCAGGATTTTTCGCCGTGAATTTCGTATAAGGTATTAACCATTTCATCTGCGGTTGAACCTTATCCCCCCCGGCATGGATGTTAAATTCATCGCCACCACTGATGCCGAAGCACCTGCAAAATTAGCTGTTTTCCAATCTTCCAGAAATTGTCTTTTCTATTTGTTTTTGTGCCCTGATCTAGGAACCCGGGCTTCAACGATAGAGCTAAATGAATTCAGAGTGCGCTACCCTTCCCCCCAGCCGCACTTTAAAAATTTTGGCTGAACGTCTGAAGAAGATACGAGCACCCCGAGGCCTTTAAGGAAAACAGGCAACTGGCTGCGCACAGCTGCAGTTCAGGGCAGGGAGGGGGAGGGGCCGGAGAGGCCAAACAGGTGAGTGTTTTTTCTAGAGTTTGATTTTTAAAAGGTGGAGGCAGCATTTAATAATACTGATACATTTTTGTAAAGCACAGCCGCAGTTTTCAAAGTTCTTTCTCAGGCGCTGTGATCTCACTCCATGTTGCCCCAGAAGGCGGAACAAGGCCGTGATTTTTTTTTTTTTTTTTTTTTAAGACGGAGTCTTGCTCTGTCGCCCAGGCTGGAGTGCAAAATGGCGCGATCTCGGCTCACTGCAACCTCTGCCTCGCAGGTTCAAGCGATTCTTCCGCCTCAGCCTCCCAAGTAGCTGTGATTACCGGCACCCGCCATCAGGCCCAGCTAATTTTTTGTATTTTTGTAGAGACATGGTTTCACCATGTTAGCCAGCTGGTCTTGAACTCCTGACCTCAGGTGATCCTCCCGCCTCGGCCTTCCAAAGTGCTGGGATTACAAGCATGAACCACCACGCCCGGCCAAGGCCGTGATTTCTTCTGCCTTACAAGATCACTGCTCATCAGTATTGCTTATGGCACGATGGATATGTTGGTCATAGCTCTAGTTGGGGCATTTCTATTGATTATTCTAATTATTGGGTTTGCTTTTTTTTTTTTTTTTATTTCATGAAAACTGAGATAATCCCAGGGAAGGCTGGAGAAGGGAAAGCAATATAATGGGATTTCGGATTCTGAAGTGTGGCCCACCAGATTGAAATTTCCTCTCCATCACTAACTGGCTCTCCACCCTTAAGCTAGTTACCCACAAAATCTCTCTTTTCCATGGAAAAGAGAATGGAATGATAGCTCCCAGGTTGTTAGGGTTGTTTGAGATTTCAACTTCGGTTTTTTGTTTTTTTGAGATAGGATCTTGTTCTGTTGCCCAGGCTGGAGTGCAGTGGCACACTCGCGGCTGGCAGCAGCCTGACCTCCCAGGCTCAAGTAATCCTCCCACCTCAGCCTCCCTAGTAGCTGGGACTACAGGCATGTGCCATTACACCTGGCCAATTTTTTTGTATTTTTGGAAAGGGATGGGGTTTTGCCGTGTTGCCCAGGCTGGTCTCAAACTCCTGGGCCCAAGTGATGCACCCACCTTGGCCTCCCAAAGTGTTGGGATTACAGGCATGAGCCACCTCACCCGGCCTCAATTTGTTTCTTGTCATAAGAAGAGATAACGCTTACTTAGACTTGCCGTGGGACCTTAGTAAACTAGGTGGCTTTACTTGCATCACCCTTAATATTATCTACATTATTAAGGGGATATTATCTATAGTATTTTGTTGTTGTTTTGAGACAGAGTCCACTCTGTCACCCAGGCTGGAGTACAGTGACGCAATCTCAGCTCACTGCAACCTCCACCTCCCAGGTTCAAGCAATTCTCCTGCCTCAGTCTCCCAAGTACCTGGGGATACAGGCGCCCGCCACCACACCCAGCTCATTTTTGTATTTTTAGTAGAGACGGACTTTCACCATGTTGGCCAGGCTGGTCTCGAACTCCTGACCTCAGGTGATCCTCCCGCCTCAGCCTCCCAAAGTGCTGGGATTACAGGCATGACCCACCGTGACCGGCCTATTACAGTATTAAACCCTTAATATTATCTACAGGGTAGATTCTTTTACCTCCATTTTACAAACCAGGAAAGTAAAGAGGCTATATAACTTGCCTACAGCCATTAGTGATGGGGCTGGGATTTGAATCCAGTAAATCTGATTTGAGGTGTCTTTGACAAGCTCAGGCTTGCAGAGGTGGTTTGGGGTGCTCAAAATTCCCATCAGCCCCAGTTGATTTGGTGTTACATACAATCTTACGTAAGTACTATGCCAATACACCTTCATAACCAACCCCCAGCCTCCCCTTCCAAGCGCATTTGTACCACTGAGTTCTATATACAGAAGTTGTAGATCTGTCACTACCAGACTGTAACTTAAATACACCATACAGAATGGAGAGCAGTGTTGGACTCACAGTTAGTGTTAGTTATTATTAGTATTGATACTAGTGTTGGTACTATTGCTGGTTGACATGTGACAGTACTTAGTAAACTGCATAAATTGTGAGGATCACTATTATCACTCTTATTACTAGTAATTGCAATAAAGTTCAGTGGAAGCAACAAGAGATACTTACTTTTATTTTGACACTTGACTTCCAGAGCCTGTTCCCCTATCCAACCCTCCCCAGAGCCCCAATCTCCCACTCATTCTGGGGCCCCTGAGTGCAAAGGAAAGGCGAGTTTTTAAGGACAGAAGAGGAGGAGGAGCCCTAGGGAGCCCCTCTTTCATCTCAAAGCAGCCAGATTTCTGTTTTTGCAAAACAGTGAGCTCACTGTGCACTCTAGAGCAATAATAAACTTTCTCTGGCCTGCTGGCACTTTGCAGTGATTCCTCTGCAAAGAGTTGCTTGGGGAGCATTGCCTCACTCTCCCAGACTTCAGCCCTCCCCACACTACCGCTACCCTGGAGTGAGTCAAAACATAGGGGTGGGAAATGGTTTGACATCCCCGCCAGCCTGGGGCTCCTTAGCTTTGGCTCGGTTGGGTGACCCATTTCTTTACATTAATATTTATTCAGCCCTTCCCTTTATTAAACCAAAAATATTAGGGAAATAGCAACTTAGCCACAACCCTCCAGCCAGGCTGCTAGAGAAAGCAAGTTGGATTCTATGTCATGGTGTTATGTTTGGTATGCACACACATATGTCTCCATCTCCCTGTCTGTCTCTGTCTTCACTGTTACTAAAGGAGATATATATACACACATACATGCTGGGGTGCCTTCAGACACACTGAGTTAGAAATCAACGTGTATTTAAACAGACTTCCATTACAGACTCATAATCCTTTCATTTATAAAACACAGCTGTCTCCAAACCGCCCCCCCCCCCCCAACCAAAAAAAAGAATCAACATCATTTGTGGTATCTCTTGTTGCCTGAGATGGCCGTTTGGGGATGTGTGAGAGACGGTGAGAGGCTAGAACTCCAGTGTTCTGGAGGTGGGTTTTCTCCCTGAAGAAGAGTCCCGTGGAACAAAACTATGACAACGGTGGAAAGGAACTGGAAAGGATTTGGGAGGGGGGTGGTGGAGGTGGAGGAGCCTCAACGTAAACTGCCAGGTGTAGAGACTCAAAGAACTCTGTCCATGGGGTCTGGGAGACAAGCAGAGACTAGCAGAGCCGGGCGCCAAACGGCGGCATCATCTTCCCAAAGTTCCTTCCTACTGTCGCTTTCCCCACCCAGCTTGCCATCTGGGCTGGCATCCTCAGAGAACCCTGCTCTAAACTGGAGCAAAAGGTCAGCTTTCCACCTGGCCTTGCCGGAGCACCATAGCCCAAGGTTACTAGTGGTGAGAAGGTCGCCAGGCGCGCACTTCGAAGCTCCCTGCACTCTCTCTCCTGCCCCCGCCGTTTTGTGGCAGAGACGGGGCGCGGGTGTGTGTGTGTGTTGCGGAGGGGGGGCTCTTGGCCTGGCAGCCCTGCAGTCAGCTGGCTCAACCTTCAAGGAGGCCCGGGCTGAACCTCGCGTCACCCTGCTGCAACGCGCGCCGCCAAGCGCTCCAGCGAGAGAAAGGCCTTTTTTGGTAACAGCCCCGCGGTAAGCGGGACCCACTTCTCTGGCCTGCGAGATCCGCCTTGGAGAAGATGAAAACAAACGTCTGCGTTGGGCCCTCCTCTGGCCTTTCGATGGCCCCTGATCGCCGCGCGCCAGGAACCCCAGAGGCGCAGTTTGAGCCCTGGGCCTGTAGAGACGAGCAAAGGGGCTGGGGAGGGTGGGGGAAGGGAGACAGCAAGATGATTTACAGATTTACTCCCAGGCCCATTCCGTGGCGGAAGTATTTGCCTTTCCCTAAAGGAGTAATCCCGGTATTTGAAAAAAAAAAAAAAAAAGTATTAACTTAGGCCAGGGCGTAGGGTTACGCAAGAGCCACTCGAGCATGAAATCCCAGGAACAACGTGATTCGCTGAGAAGCCCCGGGGGAGGAAAGCCTGCACCGCCTGCCAGGACCTGCCCAGCCTGGGGCGCGCGGGCAGCCGGGCTCTCCGTGCAAAATCGGGTGGAAGGAAAAGGAGAGCGGGCGTAGTGTTTAGTGCAGGCACAGTGGCCACAGCGAGCGATGGATCTCTGACTGATTTCTTCCTGGAGGGGCGGGGAACAGGGAGGGGAAGAAAGGCGGGGGGAGTCGCGTCTGGTTCCTGCCTCCTCCCCGCTTCCTCTCTTTGCCCGCGTGCCAGGATGGGGGAGCCCAGCGCTGTCCTCAGCAAAAGCTGGTGTGGTTTTTTTAGGTCCAAAAATAAAGGAACCCTGGAATGAGCCGCCCAGGTACCAGGCCTAGAGGTAAAAAAAAAAAAGAGGGAAGAGCCAGACAAGGATGCTATTCACTGACCTGGTTGGGTTAAAACAAATACCCACACCCCAAAAAGGGGGGTTGGAGAGGAAGGAAGCCTTGGACGGCAAGAATAGGCAGAAAGCTGGCAGGGCGGCCGACCAGGCCACAGGTGCGCATACCCCCGGACCCTCCACCCCGCCGGGCGCGCGCCTGGGCCTCAGCAGGGAGTAGGAGTGCCAGCCAGTTCCCACTGGCCCACACCGACCTGGGGATTTCCACCGTCCGGCTACGGAGACCCGTTGCCGCCGGCGCTTTCCTGCTGGGGCCACCAGAAGGCGGGGCCTCAGAGCGGGAAGCCCCTCCCTGCAGCCTCGCCATCCCTCGGTCAGGTCTGGTACATGGGGCAGCTGTCACTGCTGTGCCTGGTTGGGATGGATGGGCCAGGATCTTCAAATATTTTGGCTTGCGTGAGCTGAGTAGTTCAACCCGAAACTCAGGAGAGAGGGAGGAAGGGAGGGCGCTTAGCATTTGGGTACATATTTACATTATGTTGTTTAACTTGGACTTGGCTGACCCTAAACAGCTGTGTAAACTTGAGCAAATCTCTTGAATTTCGGTTTCTTCATCCGTAAAATGGGAAAAAGTTACACTGCTTCCTTTGCCTGCCTCGTTGATCTGTGTGGAAGACAATGTAATGTGCTTAATAAAATGTAAGAAATTATTAACAATACAATGACCAACATTTGTCTAGGGCTCGGAAGAGCATTCCCAGACATTATTTCACCAATCCCTACATCAACCCTGTGAAGTAGGTGTTACTTTCATCAACCTCCTGTATAGGTGAGGAAAGCCAAGTCCAGAATTACTGGAAACCAGGTTCCCTGGCTGTAAAACGCATTTCTTCTTTCACCCCGCCTGTTGCTATACCTTTTTGAGGGTCTCAGATGCTCCTCAGAAACTGCAAGAAATTAAAACCTCTCTCCCCATTGGAGTTTACAGGTTCATGTCCCAGTAGATGCAAGGTTATACATAAATTAGCACAGGTTATTTTGGAGTTAAAATCACTATCCAGCTTTGAAGCAAAATTGAGTAGTTATGCTTTCCTGGCATCCTGTAAAACCATTCTCTTTCTTCCTGCCTTTTTTTTTCTTTTACTTTCTTTCTTTTTCTTTTTTTTTTTTTTTTTTGGAGAAAGTCTCACTTCAGTTGCCCAGGCTGAGTGCCGTGGTGCCATCTCAGCCCATACAGCCTCAACCTCCCTGGCTCAGATGATTCTCCCACCTCAGCCTCCCAAGTAGATGGGACTACAGGTGTGTGCCATCACGCCTAGCTCATTTTTTATTTTTAGTATTAAAAAAAAAGAGAGAGATGGGATTTTGCCATGTTGCCCAGGCTGGTCTCAAACTCCTGGACTCCAGTAATCCACCTGCTTGGGCCTCCCAAAGTGCTAAGATTACAGGCGTGAGCAACTGCGCTCAGCCCCTGCCAAAACAAAAACAAAAACATGTTATTTATTTATTTTGAGACAGGGTCTCACCCATGCTGGAGTGCAGTGGTACGATCTCTCACCTCAGCCTTAGGAGTAGCTGGGACTACAGGCATGCACCACCCCATACCTAGCTTAGTTTTTTATTTTTTGTAGACACGGGGATCTCACTATGTTGCCCAGGCCTGTCTCTTCTGGGCTCAGGCAGTTCTCTCACCTCAGCCTCCCAAAGTACAGGGATTACCACCGCATCTGGTCTCTTCCTGCCTTTTCTATACCCCGGTCCTTGGCAGAGGTGATGGAGGAAAATCTGAAGTTCTAGAACTCACTGAAGCATTTAGGAATTTACTGAGATACCCTTACCAAGGACAGCAGCATTTTCATTGTGCACTCTTGAGAAAGACCCCAGGCTGAACAATAAACAAGGAGGAAAATGAAGAGAGTGCATTTTATAGTGGAAGGAGCCTCTTCTCATACCCAAAAGTCATATCACATAAGTAACGTGCGCCACCTTATACGGGTCACACCAGCTGTATAGACACTCACCCAACATGTACTGTCCTGTCCTTAGGCTAGGGGCCACATGATTGTGGCAGGCTACAGTCCTCAAAGCACTTCTGGCCACCAGGTGCAGTGCAGTTGTGCACACCTGTAGTGCCAGCTACTTGGGAGGCTGAGGTGGGAGGA